>NC_000004.12:188618350-188921381 GCF_000001405.40 Homo sapiens
AGGCATTCTGAAATCATTCGATTCTTTTTTTCTGCCTGAATTTTTTACTTTAAAAAGATTATTATGACATTCCATTAGTGGTTTTGACAGAGTGATATTGGATTCTCAAAATGAAAGATGTGTGTGAAATATCAGACTTGTCTTATTTTTGAAATAAAGACAGTGGCCCCTCTCACCTGGAAGAGTGCTGTCTCAAACGATTAGATCCTGGCAGACAACAGAGAACAAACATATTTTGATTAAATTATTTTTCTATTCAACCTGGTGCAGTGCGTAACCTCTATGTCTATGGCTCTTTGTTTGATCTTTTCATGGAGGTGAGTGATTTTATTTACAAAATAGAGGCCAAGAGAGGAAGTTAAAATATAGAATGATTTGTGTACTCATGGATATGCAAAGGAAGGTTTGAATTAGTCAGAACTACATTTAGAGCTAATAAGCTACTAATGTCTAATGTCTGCCTTTGAGAATCTGTTTTTTGTTTTTGTTTTTGTTTTTTTGTTTGTTGGTTTTTTTTTTTTTTGAGATGGAGTCTCCTCTGTTGCCCAGGCTGGAGTGCAATGGCCCCATCTCAGCTCACTGCAACCTCTGCCTCCTGGGTTCAAGCAATTCTCCTGCCTCAGCCTCCCGAGTAGCTGGGACTACAGGTGTGCGCCACCAGGCCCAGCTCATTTTTTATTTTTAGTAGAGATGGGGTTTCACCATGTTGGCCAGCATGGTCTTGATCTCTTTACCCCTGATTCACCCACCGTGGCCTCCCAAAGGGCAGGTATTACAGGCGTGAGCCACCGTGCCCAGCTGAGAACCTGTTTTTAAGGGTAAACAATAGTGGATGGTTTATAATGAAGGGATCCAGGGTAAGAAGCTATCCCGAGAGAGTTGAGCATCCCCAAACTAGGGGACTGAGTTTCAGGATCCTGAGCTCCCAGCAGCAGAAAGTTGTCATGTTGGTGACACATGGATATGAATGGCCTGTGCAGCTGAAAAAGGTTGAGAAGGCAGTTGGCTAAAATTTAAATTGTCATCCATGTAAGTAAAATGATTTGTGCAGTGATGATCATACCTGGAAAAAGCAGTGCTGGGAAAAATAGAGCCAAGAAAAATGCGAGCAGAAAGGCATAAGGCAAGAGACTCGTCGGGCACCCAGACCAGCTACTCACAGTGGTTTATTCTCTTGAGGAGTCAGAATGGGGCCTGGACTCAATATGACGTTTTCACAGGGCATTGAGGGAACTGCAACTGCAATGTGGGTTACTTGCTCGCCGCATGCGCAGCCCAACTAACAAGAGCGAAGTTTGGGTACGAAGCAAGTGAGCTTATTCCGAAGCCTGCCTGAGGAAGGGGCACAGCGTCCTGCCTTTAAATATGCCACTTCACCTTTGGAGCAGAAAGTGGTACTTTTATAAGGTAGTGGAGGAAGTGAGCAAGAGCAGGGTCCCCCTTGCTAGCTTGGTGCCTTACGTACCAGGCAATTGAGTTGGTGCCTTCCTGGGCAGAAATAAGTTGTCAAAGTGGCCAAGTGGACTTGCTTTTCACATGCCCTCTTGGTGGATGAAAGTTCCGAGGCTGCGGGGGCCGTGCTTTGGTCTGCAAATTAATAGACTGTCAACTCTCCAGGAGAGATCCCTCTTGGAGCACAGAGTTAAACTTGCTCTGCAGGAAATGTCTGCGGGGGGTGGCCGTGAAAGGTTGTGTTTACATTTCCAAAGGGCTAAGAAACAGGGAAAAGGTGGAAAGGAGAAAAAAAGAGAAAATAATGTTTAAAAACTATCTCTTAGAAAAATGTGGGTACCCGGTTACAGAACCGCCTGTGGGGCCATGCATGGGGATTATGAAGACGGGGTTGCCACTTACTTTCTTTGCTAAGAACTTCCTGTCATCTTCCCATCAGCAGCGAGAGCACTGGGAAAACTTCTTACCACCTCACTGCCCGAGAGCCTCACCTCATCCAAACATCAACAAATCCAGCCTCATTTTTCAGAAGGGCCACCTTAGTCTTTCCATGATCACAAGTGAAATAATTAAATGACTAAAAGTTGTACTTGTACAGGTCACAGCCAGATAATCCTTCATTTGCAGTTAACTAAACAGCATGCTACACAATTGGATGTAAGGAATGAAGGTGACATAGCAATTTTCCATCTGTATTATCTGAGACCATGTTATTGGAAAACGGATGGTCCTAAAAGTAGAAATGAAAAGTTCACAAGGGCAATGATGGGAAGTTGTTTTAATGGGATCCTAAGGTCTGCTTCTACTAAGCAGGAAACAGAGAGTGAAGCAGTTACTATTTTCTTGCTCAACAAGTGAAAGCAAAAAGAGAAATCCACGTTACAGAGAAGACTGAAACAGAATCCCATAAAAATGTTTCTCAGTATCATTTCTCAGACCAACCAAATTGTTGTGTTTCTTAAACTGAGAAGTTGAAATACCAGAGAGAGGTCAGAATTCTGCTGAGATGTATTAGAATGGTTGAGGTTTGGCCTATTGGAGTTGCAGAGATTCTTCTGCTTAAGACCTCTTATGAATGTTTGTAGATAATAACAGTCCCTCGCCAGAGGCTTAGCTTGTCACCTCTGCCTACCATCAACAGATGCTTTCCTGATCACACTGTTTTTTTTAGCCTTAGCCACTTTGCTCTCTCAAGCAGTGGCTTTCAAGGTTTTTGACCACAATCTTCTGAAAGAGACATAACTACATCTTGAAATGTAAGTGCAGAAATGTATACTTTCAGTAAAAGAGTCACAAGACAATACTACTTTGGCAGATACTTTAATATTTCCTTTTGTCTATTCTATTCTATTCTATTCTATTCTATTCTATTCTATTCTATTCTATTCTATTCTATTCTATTCTATTCTATTCTATTCTTCTATTCTATTCTATTCTAATGCTGATCCCAACTTACCAATGTTTGTTCATGGGCAACTTACAGGCTGTATGTAATCTGCAGTATGAACCACACTGCTTTAAGCTTTTTTTAAAAAAAAATTGAAGCAGAATTTACTTATAAGCTTATTTCTTAGAAATGAAACCAAAAAATTAAAATATTTTATAGAAATTAAATAAAATAAGAATATAGAGCAGCGATAGTTTCTGGTGAATCTTAACTAAATATTAAGCTACAGCTTAATGTTCAACTTATCAACCATCTGAGGGATAAATAGGGTCAGTCCAGATTAAAAATTTCTATTACACTGTATAATTTCGGTCTGTGTTTACTTGTTGGTGTATTTATATACAGAATTAATATTTCTAATACAAATTTTCTTACTAATTATAATTTTACTTTAGGAGACAAGATATATTTTTAAATAAACAAATTCACTCTACATAAATATAACCAGAGATTTATTTTCAAAGAAGTTAATTCTGGAAGGCATTATGACTTTTATCTTTAATCATGGAAACAAACTTTTGTGGAACACCTGTATTTGAGACATAGGAAAAGACTTCCTGATAATTTTTAAAAATCCATTTCAGTTTTTAACACCTACGTATTTTTTCCTATGTGCAAAATATCTGAGGAAGAAATCAAAATAGTTAAATAATCCAGAAATTACATTCAGTCAATAATGTCAACTTAAGACAAACTGTGATTTGGGTTGTATTTTATAAGTTTGTTTTTCCTTTTAACTGAATGTATACGATGATTTGGTCAAGTTGCTTGGATTTGATTTATGCTGAAATAACACTCAGAATCAAAACAAAGCTTGGTCCAAATTCCAGAAAGTAGGGTAATTCCCTAAGTGTAACCTGATTGAAAATATATGAAAATTTACTCTCATGTACAAAATAACCATTATGGTTTAGGAGAAATAGAAATTATAAGCTAATGAAGATAGAGACTTGGCAATTTACTAAAGGATCCAAGAGTATTTATAGCTTATTTTTTAAACTGATTAAAAATGTGTCAAAATATTACATTCTAAATAAAAGTTTTGATTAAATTATTTCATTCACTAGCTTTGAGGCATGGTTAAAGTGAAATAGAGTTCAAAGAAAGGGAAGAAGTAAATTGCTAAAAGAGTAAAACCAATTTTGATGAATTAAGTCATAGTTAAAAGAGAAAAAGAAAGACAGGTGAAAATAAGATTAGGCTAGAATAGAAGAAAAAAATGAGAAAAAGTCTAACCTCAGTAAGTAACTAGAAAGTAAGACTTGAGATTAAATAATTCCATAGGTATGTCATAGTTCAATTGTACATTTCATGAAATTCTAATTCTAATTTGATGAAAGATAATTCCAGGAAATTTGCATGCTATTATTAAATCACTTTAAGATTTTTCTCCAAATGTGTTATATTAGATATACATATATGATATATGTCAATTTATATATATATAAATATAGCTCTCTCCTCTTTGAGATATATACGATTTTAGTAGGTTTCTGAGGTCACTAGTTGTCTCCATTTTCTCTGCACTTAAAATGATGCACAGAGTTTAGAAGAGAAGATTGGGTGAGAGCTCTGCATCTCTAAAAACAGCTGCCCTTGCCCGGATCATGCTCCGCAAATGTTCTGACCTAAGGCTCGAATCAGATGCATAGGTTATATTGACTCAAGTCGAATATCTATTTTTGGGTTTAAGTGCATATGTATTTTCAATGGCAAATTAAAGTTTATAAAATGGAATATGATAAAAGATAAATGCAAAACCAAAGAGAAATTGATACCTTGATATTTTCAGTGAACTTTATCAAAATTCAAAATTGAATATATATATTTATTTAATTATATATAATATGTATATATATGAATATATAGAGATATAGATATCCATATACATAATATATTATATAAAATATATAAATATATATATATATATAAATGCTACATAAATATACGACCTCAGACTTCTAAAGCTGAATATAACAATGGAATTAAAAGTTAAAAATTAGATCTTCTGGGCATCTTAGAATTTTGAAATCTTTGAATATAGGAAATTTAGCAAGAACTTTAAAATGCTTAAATGGTTTTACCATTGTATTCTGCTGGATTTTATTTTATGGTAATCAAAGTTGTCAGAAGGTCAGAGACTCATAAATAGAGAACAGAGCATCAAAAAGCTCATTGACAAGCCTAATGCACATGCTGTCTCTTCTTTAAAAAATGAATAAAGATGACAAGAAACATTTTGCTCTTCTTTTGTAAGACGCAGAATAAACTGTCATCTTTTCTCTTATGAATAGAAAATGCATGACATAAAATAGGAAACAAAAAATATAGAAACGTAGAAAATGTGTCATAAAATAGAAAACAGAAAATGTGCCATCTCATGTACTAAATTTATCTGATGACATCGCAAAAGAAATAACCTAGTCACTGAGTTTAACATTTTGATGTCTTATGTAATCATAACCATTGACATGAACTTTATATGTGTTTTCTGTCTATCAAAGTTCATGGTCATGAAAAAAAACGTAAACTATTTTTACTAACATTTTTAAAGTGAAGAAGAAAGCCTTATTGTATAATTTATAGTGGATTCTAACTTCATTGCCAAGAATAATACATTATAGTTTCTTAGTCATTTTCATTATTTGTAAGAGTGTTAAACAACTCCTAATCATTTTACTTATTTTTAAAGTTAATAAAGCAATATATGTAATATGTAAAAACATTTTCCATGTAAAGTTAAATTTAGAAAGTGTAAAAATTGGTGTGTCACTGTTCACCCTTATTCCGCCCTTGCTCCCTCAAGTTCTGATTTCCCAGTAGGAATTCCATAAAATAGAATAGCTTATTAGAATTGTAGTTGATATGCAATTAGGTAAAATGTTAATTTGAGCACAACACATCTTTATAATCTTGAACCTTCCTCTATTACTATAGTTTTATTATTATTTATTAGTATGTTTTTTCATTTATTCAGATATTATTTCTGTCTCTCAATGTGGTTTTATAATTTTCTTGATATAAATTCCAAGAACCTAAAATCATTGCTTTATCACCTTTTGATGCTTTTGGACTTGTCACCCAGGTGAAATTCATTTTGAACTACAGATAAAGAGATACTTGTTATCAATAATTGTGACTGTCTGAGAGTTCACTCTCTTTACAAGCTAGCTGTTTAGCCTGTTCCATTTTCATGACTGTTTCAAGACAGCAGGAGGTTCTGGGTCAGAGACAAAGAATAGTTTATTACTGGAAGCAATAGCCAGTCACTTGACTCTGGGTCCCAGAAGCCTAAACACAGGGCATTGTGAAGAGAGCCAGGTGACACTTGCCTGCCAAGTAGACTGTGGTACAGCACAAACGAAGCTGTGGGAATCTCCTCTTCTCATCGCGGGCATTCAACATTCCTGCTCTGCTTCAGAAGGAGGAGCTCTATTTTTCAAGACTAAACAAACCTGCTCTTCTCTCTGTAAGGTAATGGGACCTGTATCTTCCAAGGCTCTGTGGTATATGAACGTCCTGGAAGAGGTTTTTCAGAATAAAGTGCAGTTATGGTCTCACAAGATGTTAAGAAATGTGAATTGAAGTAAAAGTTCTGTGATATATTAAGCTATGATATACTAAAACTTTTAGTTTGCATTTTTCATCTGTGAAAAGTCTATTGAATCTTTTTCCTGTGTATAAATAGATTGTTTTCTATGTAAAAGTGAATTTTTGGTTTCGGTCATTGCTAAATACCTAGTGCCTGTTGTAGTGTCTACACATAGTAGACACTCAAATAATAAATAATATTTGTTGGATAAATACATGAACTAAACAAGTAATTCATGTTTTTTTCTTGGTTCCTAATTTTTTCCCATATATATGTAAAATATATATGTATACCGTATATATATATACGGTATATATATGTGAAATATATATATATGGTATATATATGTGCATATATATATATGGTAAAAAAGAATTTCCTTTGAATTATCTATAAATTGGGTGGAGGGGAGGTGCTTTTCAGGAGGGCCACAGTGCGAGGTATCTTTCATGCCTTCCTTATAAACACATACACATACGAATATTTAAAAAGTATAATCAGGACAATCAAAACTGGCATGAGGTATTATAACATCATTGTAACACCTGTGGAAGGAAAGTAAATCTTAGGGCCCCTGAACCACTAAGCTAAAGGCAAAGTCAAGCTGGGCCAACCTGCCTCCCATTCTGTTCAAAGTCAGCCCCCCTGCTCACTACATCAATGCATACTTGACTGCCCTCTTTGGGGAGGCGCATCAGAAACTCAGAAGAACGCAGCCATTTGTCTCTTATCCACCTATGACCCAGAAGCCTCCTCCCCACTTGGAGTCCTCCCACCTTTGCTTCTAGTTGTCCTGCCCTTCCAGACCAAACCAGTGCTCATCTTATACATGTTAACTGATGTCTCAGATCTCCCTAAAATGTATAAACAAAATGTGCTCTGACCCCCTCGGGCCTTTCTCTCTGTTAATGGGCTTGTCCTGAACATTGGCAAAATAAACTTTCTAAATTCACTGAGACCTGCCTCAGATATTCAGGATTCACACACCTTAATTTCATAGACAGTAATTAATGAATAAAATGATCTTTGTCAAACACAAAAAAATGTATGTTCTCATTTTCTTACCAGAAGTTTTAGATTTTTACTTTGAGGGTAATTTTAAAACACCAGGTCATGTGATTCATGGTCTAACCTCCCATGCCAGTTTGGTAGTCTATGACACAATTTCACTCAACTACTTTTCACTCCTTGAGTGTTACACGTGTTCTCCCCGTCCCCTCTCTGTCTTGTCTTGGATCAGTTTCCAAACCTCTGCACCTAAGGGCTCATATCTTTATGTAATTTGTTCCTCAAAAAAATATTACATGTTAATTCTTCTAGGAAATCTTCCTTGAATACCCATCAAAATGAGTCAAGGGTCCTTACAGTGAGCTCACCTACCAATCTATATAATTGGTAATCACAGAACTCATACTACCAAAATTATTGATATGTTTGTTTAAATCCTTTCTGGAGTATGTATCACTTGGTATCTTTAGCATTTATTTCAATGCTTAGAGCATCAGAAATGGTCAATATGGAAGAAATAAATAACCTCCTGAGTGCTTGGTAATAGCAGCAATATGCGTTAACATTTGAGAGCCCCTGTGTGCTTATTCATTGTGACGCCTCTCACTCCGAGAACTTGTACTTGGATTGGCCATTGGGAGTTTATAATTTTTTTTTTCATAAGAGTCTGATGCTTTAAAAGCAGCTACCATTTACTTACCACTATTGGAATAATTTTAAGTGTAAAATTCCATGAAAGCTGAAAACTGAGTAAAAGAGTTGTTCCCCTCAAACGGGACTGAAGATTAGGGAGGTAGACCTGTACAAGAAAAAAAGACAAGGAAGTGGGTGAGAAGTAGAGTAAGGGTAGAGAAATTTGTTGAAAGTTTCATTTATATAATAATATAAAACATCTGTATGATGCCATTAGAATAAGCTGTAAATTCTGTTAAAAAAAGACAACTGGCCAGGCACGGTGGCTCACGCCTGTAATCCCAGCACTTTGGGAGGCCGAGGGAGGTGGATCACGAGGTCAGGAGATCGAGACCATCCTGGCTAACACGGTGAAACCCCGTCTCTACTAAAAATACAAAAAATTAGCCGGGGTGGTGGCAGGTGCCTGTAGTCCCAGCTACTCGGGAGGCTGAGGGAGGAGAATGGCAGGAACCCGGGAGGCGGAGCTTGCAGTGAGCCGGGATCGCACCACCGCACTCCAGCCTGGGCGACAGAGCGAGACTCCGTCTCAAAAAAAAAAAAAAAAAAAAAAAAGACGACTAACATGAAAATTTTAACATGATTGAAATTTTTTTTTTTTCGTTTTTACTTTAAGGTCATGGATTTTCTTCTGACTCTGGACCTGCTGAGAAGAGTTCTGTGTTATTTTATGGCACAAATCATAGCTAATGTATTATCCAAAATATTGTTTAATGAGAACTAAAAACATAGGAATTTGGGTGAAGAACAAATTTCTTCACACTTTTTATGATTCCTTATCGACACCTCCTACCCACTAATTCTTCAATCTGGCCAACAAAAATTTGATCACAGATATGTTTGCTTCACCTTTAAAGTCTTTACAAAGCACTTAATCTAGTCTTAAATACAACTGTTCACATGCATTTCGCATCAATTTATATAGTACTTAGTTATAACATTACAATAATAAATACACTGCAAATCAGGTTTGGTAACACATCCACTTATATTAACAATGCCCTGATGCACGTTCAATAATTTTGTCTTTTCACCCTCAACAGGTAAAGAGGAGAGAGAGGGAGAGAGAAAGAAACACTAAATGTGTTTTATAAGCAAAATCAGCTGTTACATCATGATGATTGTTCAAACAGCTTTCTTCGCTGATACAATTGCAAAAAGATTATAATGTCCAGTCAATTGCATTGGCCTAATCTAGAGTATAAGGGTTTTGCTTCTGGGAATTTGTGTTTATATATAAAGTAGGTTTTTTAAGTTAGTATATATTGAAAATAATTAGTGGCTTACCATAATACTTTCTCTAACAATCTTCTGATACACAATATCTCTTTTTTCTATATTAAGCTTATTAAATTTGTTCCCTAGGTACTTAAAATATGTCTTATATTCCATATAGCAAACCTACAAGATGGATATGAATATCCTTATTCTGCAGATTAGAAAAATGAGGACAATGTTGTCAAGTGACTGAAGTGGACCCATAGGTAGCTGTTTCCCAATACTATTTTGAATCTCAGTTGTATGCTCTGCATTTTCGGCTCAACACTACCACCTCCTGAAAAGACTTTTAAGCAGAATTTAGAGGAAAACAAATCAAACACATCAGAAAACATCAAAGCAAATGCATTAAATAAGATTATACTGAAATAAGTTGGACACACTGTGGAGATTTCCACTTCTGCCCATGAAGAATTAACAGCTACAGAAATTGCTTTCTGAGAGTAAATGACTAGAAACCTGGAAAAAAAGATATGAAGCAACAGTTTTAGGTGACAAACAGCACAAGACTAAAACACCTGATGGGGGAAGAAAACAAATGAGATAAGATTTATGTCTGGAGGAATTTTCTATAGCAAAGTGAAGGGAACCTGAACTAAAGCCCAGCAGTGGATTGAACAGCTTCAGGATTTCAGGAGGCTGAGGTAACCACAGCAGTGGATTGAACAGCTTCAGGATTTCAGGAGGCTGAGGTATCCAGAAGTTGAAAGGTAAAGTACTTTGGTAGAATAAGATACATACCGGGAGAACTTTCAAGATCTTCAGAAGAGACTCTTCCAGTTTTGCTTGTTTGTTTTGTTTTGTTGCAAAATAGAGATGAGAGGAAATTCCATGAGACTGGGGAAAGAAAGCAGTAGGCAAAATAATTCTACGGCAACTGCATTAGGAATACTTCATGTCCTATCTGCCAGAATGTAGGGACTTCTTAATATATGGGGTTAGTGTAGAATCCAGAAAGGACACATCCCTTAGTAGAAGGGTTAAATTAGTTAATTGTGCTAAACTAGCACAAGAATACAGATGTTCTAGACCCAACCTAACAAAGCTCAATAGGATAAAGTAGGATAAAACTAACCCATAAGGTTCTTACCTGTGTGACTAAACAAAATCCAAAACTCTTTAAAAAATGTAAAAAAAAATAGCACAAATAACATAAAATTCACAATGTCTACCACCCAGTAAAAAATTACCAGGCATGCAAACTAACAACATTTGGCTCATAACCGGGAGAAAAATAAACCCACAGAAACATATGCAGAAATAACAAAGATGATCAAATTAGTAAAAAAGGATTTCAAAAGATTATTATAAATCTTATGGTTATGCTCAGTGAAGTAAATGAAGATAAACATAATATGGAGAAAATAAAAGATATAAAAAGACTGGAATGGAACTTCGAGAAATAAAAAACATGTCAAAAAGGACAATTACATTCGATTATAGAAAAAGCATCTAAAAGATTAGCAAACTTGAAAGCCTACCAATCAAAATTATTCAAAATGAAGCACAGAATGCAAAGAAAACCAGGTTGAACAGAAAAGAACAATCTTTCATTCAGTTTTAAGACAATATTTAGTGGTCTAACACATTTGCAATTGGAGTTCTAATAGATAATTTCAAGGGAGAAAAATATTTAAAAATGTATACCCCCAATTTTGCAAATTTATTTGTTTAAATAAAAACAAATTGAGCACATAAACACAAAATATCTGAAAACCAATAATATAGATAATTTTAAAATAAACCAGGAAAAAAACACATTATATACAGAGAAATAAAAATAAATGTGGCAGAAAATTATTACTAGAGATCACATCAACCAGAAGTAAATTGCATGGCCTCTTTAATGTGCTAGAAAATGTTAGCTATGAATTCTATACTCAGTGAAAATATCTTTCAAAAATGAAGGTGAAATAAGATTTTTCCTGGTCAACAAAAAGAGTTTTATCAAACATAGGCACAACAAATGATGTCAAAATTGATTCCTCTTGCAAAAGGAATGATAACAGGCTGACTTTCTTTCTTTCTTTCTTTTTTTTTTTTTTTTTGAGACTAAGTATCTCTTTGTCACCCAGGCTGGAGTGCAGTGGCGGGGTCTCAGCTCACTGCAACCTCTTCCTCTGAGGTTCAAGCGATTCTCCTGCCTCAGCCACCCTAGAAGCTAGGACTACAGGCGCCTGCCACCACGCCCAGCTAATTTTTTGTATTTTTAGTAGAGACAGCGTTTCACCATGTTGGCCAGGATGGTCTTGATCTCCTGACCTCGTGATCAGCCCGCCTCGGCCTCCCAAAGTGCTGGGATTACACACGCGAGCCACCAAGCCCAGCCTGACATTTTTACCTATGCAAAGGAATAAAGAGCACCAAAATGGGAAAAGTGTGAGTAAATATAAAACACCCTGTTCTTAATTTTTAGCCTCTTTAAAAAGAAAATTGAGACTTCTGGTTCTGTATAAGAAGTTTGAAAGTAATGAGGGAGAAGAAAAGGAAAAATCAGTTAGGTAAACAGTTAAGGCTGGTCCTCGGAGAGGCAGCCTGCCTGAAAAATCGCAGCTACAGGCAAAAATAGAGCAGCCTGGGGAAAACTCAGGATGCACCTGCACAGACAAGCACGCAAGGTCCGGCACAGAAGCCTTTTGTTCTTCGTGTGATTAACCAGCTCCCAGGGAAAAGTTTCCCCTTCTTTTCAGACATGTATGCAGTGGGCTCGGTGGGAACTTGCACAGGGAGGAGGGGGCTTCCCTAAAACAAACCCACAGTTTTACAAACAAGAGAAGCGGTGCTTTGTGCTTGCCTAGAGTCATACCCACAGCTACACAGACAAGGGGGAGGGAGTTGAGCAGACAGCTTTTCAGATGAAGAAAAGTTACGCAAACAGCTACAGAACTGAGAGGAGTTTCTTATACAAACTTTTGGGATTCAACTGTAAAAACGGAAAACCACTTGGCTCCCCGCTCCCCTGCAGAGAGCTTTCATTTTTTGTTCATTACACTTTCACTCCAACCTCACCATTTTCATTTTCACCCATGCTCCTTAATTTTCTCAGTCATGAGACAATAAGCTGAGATAACACCTTAGACAACAAGTTAGGACAAAGTGTCCTTTTGAAACAGACAATGAGATGCAGAAGGGCACTGGGCTCCTGTCTTTCCAGGGCAAGGACAAGTCGGGCTCAGCTGTGTGCAACTTGTTCACTAAAGGGCTCTGTGAGAAACGGAAACTGCCCCTTCTGGCATGACCAAGGGAAGATGATGGTGGTGTGTAAGCACCGGCTCTGGGGGCTGTGCAAGAAGGGCGACCACTGCAAGTTCCTGCACCGGTTGACCTCCTGCGATGCCCGAATGCTACTTCTACTCCACGTTCCCGCACCAGTTGACCTCACTGTGATGCCCAAATGCTGCCTCTACTCCACGTTCCTACACCGGTTGACCTCACCGTGATGCCCAAGTGCTAATTCTACTCCACGTTCCTGCACCGGTTGACCTCACCGCGATGCCCAAGTGCTAATTCTACTCCACGTTCCTGCACCGGTTGACCTCACCGCGATGCCCGAATTCTACCTCTACTCCACGTTCCTGTACCTGTTGACCTCACCGCGATGCCCGAATGCTACTTCTACTCCGTGTTCCTGCACCAGTTGACCTCACCGCGATGCCCGAATGCTACCTGTACTCCACGTTCCTACACCGGTTGACCTCACCACGATGCTGGAATGCTACCTGTACTCCACGTTCCTGTACCGGTTGACCTCACCACGATGCCGGAATGCTACCTGTACTCCACATTCCTGCACCGGTTGACCTCACCGCGATGCCCGAGTGCTACTTCTACTCCAAGTTTTGTCTCCGTGTAAATATCGCCATGTCCCCAGAATAATGTGTCTCAACTATTTCGTGGCTTCTGCCCTGAGGGACCCAAGTGCCAATTTGCTCATCCCAAGATGAATCTTTTATTCAACCTGAGTTACACGAAGTCATCTCCACCATACCCCTTTGCTGTTCCAGATATTTAAATGGTGCTCAGGTTAACACCACTTATGCCAGCGCTGCAGCTCTTTGGATACACAGAGACAAATGTAGGGATCCGAGAGGCCACTTCCAACGACTGTTGCTATCTATTGCCTCTACAGATTATTCTGTTCTATTTTTATTTTATAAGTTTAGAAAGAGAGTATTAAGCACTAAAAAAGAGGACACTTTGTCCTAACAATTGCTAAAAAGCTAAACTGAAAAATGAACTTTTCTCAGATTCATTAGAGAAGTGAAGCCACGGGGAAAAGGACTGCCCCTATATTGGAGAGACAGAAAGGCCGATACAGGAATCACAGTGTGCCAGAGCAGAAAGTCAAGAGCAAGAACTCTTTGGGAATCAGTGGTGGAATCTGAACTGGAATTGACAAATTTCTGTAAGGTAGACGTGGACAAGTGTGAGAATTAGAACCCCCAGGAGGACCCAGTCATAGAGAAGCAGCCGTACATTTACATCTTGTATCTCCAGGAGTTTCACCAGGACCTGATATTGAAGATTAGGGAAAAATCCCCTTGTACTTCCAGCAGGGGGTGGGGAAAAGGAACCCCAGGTTGAAATAGGAAACAGGGCAGAACATTCAGTTTTGGAAAAGATTTCCCCTCAAGAGAAACTAACAGAGCCAAACCTGCTGGGATTTTCTTAGAGCCTAAGTGAGGTGGGCAAGGGGAGAGTCCCAACCCCAGCTGCTCAAGCTTTTCTGTTCCACTTAAGAAGAAGGGGAGGGTGGCCGGGTGCTGTGGCTCACTCCTGTAATCCCAGCACTTTGGGAGGCTGAGGCTGGCAGATCACGAGGTCACGAGTTCGAGATCAGCATAGCCAACATGGTGACATTCCATCTCTACTAAAAATACAAAAATTAGCTCGGCGTGGTCCTGGGCACCTGTAATCCCAGCTACTCAGGAGGCTGAGGCAGGAGAATGGCATGAACCCGGGAGGTGGAGTTTGCGGTGAGCTGAGATGGTGCCACTGCACTCCAGCCTGAGTGACAGAGCAAGACTCTGACTTGAAAAAAAAAAAAAAGAAGAGGAGGGCAGAAGATGAGAAGCATTGTGGCTTCCCAGAGGCATAGACTCACTAAAGACAGAGCTAATCACAGGGCTGAGAACACTTCAAGGCTCACCATAAAGTTCTGCGTTCACAACAGTGTGGTATTTCTATAAAGATAAAATGTAGAATAAAGGAACAGAATAGAGATGTCAGAAACAGACTTATACGTAGTTATTTTTCAAGATGTTGCCAGGTAATTAACAGGAAAGAATAGTCTTTTCAAAAAATGATGCAAGGACATTGGGTTATTTATATGAAAAAGAATTCATTTCAACCCTTATTTTATACCATTTAAAAAATTAAATTTACATGGATTATTAAATTTATGAGCTAAAGTTCAATAATTCCTAGAAGAAAACATGACCTTGATTTGGTAATCATTTCTTAGATAGGACACAAAAAGAACAAATTATAACAGAAAATTGATAAATTGAATTAGTAAAAATGGGAAAAAATTTTAAATGACTTTTAAGAAAAGGAAAGGTAAGCCACCCCTAGTTCAAAGAAACTTGCACAGCAGGTATCTGATGAAGGTCTGTATCCAGAAACATAATGTATCTTGATTAGAAGAAAGTAATCAACTCAATTAAGAAATAAGGAAAATGGGTCGGGTGCGGTGGCTCACGCCTGTAATCCCAGCACTTTGAGAGCCCAAGGCAGGCGGATCACGAGGTCAGGAGATAGAGACCATCCTGGCCAACATGGTGAAACCCTGTGTCTACTCAAATAAAAAAAAAAAAATTAGCCGGGCATGGTGGCACACGCCTGTGGTCCCAACTACTCAGGAGGCTGAGCAGGGAAATCGCTTGAACCCAGGAGGGGGAGGTTGCAGTGAGCCCAGGTCACACCACCGCACTCCAGCCTGGGTGACAGAGCAGGATTCTGTTTCAAAAAAAAAAAAGAGGAAATGGGGAAAATGTTTGACACTTCACTAAGAAACGTGTATAAATGGCTAATAAACACAAGAAAAGATGTACGGTATCATTAATCATTAGGGAAATGTACATTAAAACCACCAGGAGTCACCACCACACATGTAGAAAGCTTAAACCTTTTAAGGTTGACAAACCTCAAATACCGATGAGGAAGTAAAACAACCACCATTCTCAGACATTGCTGAAGAGAATCAGAATCATTCGGCCACTTTGGAAAACAGTACACATCATGCTTTACAGAAAGAAGTGGTATAGAAATGAGCAGAGGCACTAGTGTCCCTTTAGGACCATTATATTCTAAAGTGCCAATTGGTAAAATTATTCTTTAGTTCTACCTGGAAAATCTACTTCTATAATTTAACTTGTAATTCTGATCTATGATATCTTTCAGAACACGCCTATGTGAACTTAATTAAATCTTGGTCCAAACATGCTTATTTTTATTTCTTCTTTATTTTATTTATTTTTACTTATTTTTTAAATGAGAACCAGGATAATGAGATATTTCTTCTTTTACAAGAATATGAAGTTTACCTTTCATTTAAAACAGTACTACTGGCACCTTGTCATATAAAATTTTACATGGAGTTACATATTCTAAGAACAGCTATCTGAGAAATGTGTAATTTCTTTTTCAATAGTTTTTTATGTTTATTATCCTATGATGTATGTGAAGACATATTTCATATGTAATTATGAGATTATACTTAATTATATTTCCAAAGGTGAAGAAATTTTTGTATTTTTATTTTAAAATAACAATAGAAAAGTATTTGAAATATCTTTTTAAATTCTCAATTATGATTCATAACATCTTATTTTTATTTCACTTCTTACTTTTGTGTCTTTTTTCCTTCCATCCTTCCTTTCCTTCTTTCTTTTCTCATTTGGATTATTTTTAACTGGTGCCTCAGTTCTTCTTAAGTATATAGAACTTCTAAAATTATAAGCAGAGAATGGTCTTTGGTTCCCAGAAAACTTAGATTAAAGAGTTAAAAGTTACTCATTATCATATAGAGTTCCTCAGCAGGTCATTTTGTAATGAGAGCAGACTCAGTATTATAATATAAACCTCACTGGTCCTGTATTCTTTACAATGAACAACCAAAGACCCTTTATGAAGCTTGATATATTTTAAAACATTCAACATAGTTTTATTTCATGTCCTTGCTATTTTATAAACAGGCCTTCAATAGTCACATGATGAGGACTTTTGGGATAATCTACCTGAAATGTACCACTCTGCCCTTTCTGTTCTTCTGCAAGGCAAATCTGAGGAATTTTTTTTATTGTTCATTTTTCCAAGAATTCCTACAAACTGATGTCTTTACTGCCTACAAAGTAGCAGGATTTTAAAAAGTCAGATAACTCTGTTTGCACTGATATGGCCAAATATTTCCAATTTTCAGGTTAATTCTCCACTTTTTAACCCAGACAAACAAACATTGGATTAGATTTTACAAGATGTGCAATTAAGAATAAATGACAGTTGCCTCTATATATCAAAACCAAGCACGGACACAAAACCATGCTTGCACTCAGTCTTCTCTGAAGAAATCACATTACTCTTTTCCTTCTTCCTATTTGGTTACTTTTATGAGGAATGAAACCCCATGTTGCAAAAAGAATAAAGAATACTCTTCACCATTTTTTTTTTAATTTTGCAAATTTATAAATAAATGGGTACAATTTCTTACTAAGTTTCTCATTTTCAGCCTAGGCAGAGACATACTTGCAGCTATCTTATTTATCTCAGAGAAACCAGCAATGAGAGCTTTAAGCCTAGCAAAAGTCAGAAGACAACCAATAAGAGATTTTGGCATAACATTAAAGATAGACCAAGCTAAGACAAGAACGAGGATTTTTTTCAATATGGATAATCCAGGAAGAAACCGCAAGAATAATGACTTTTAAAATATCCAAACAAATGTAAATTTCTCTTCCCCCTAACCCTTACAGAAAGCAAACAGAAAACATCAAAACCAATTGAGAAACTCCAAGTAGGCACAAGCACTTCAAAATTAATACAGAAAAGGCTAACTTTATAAAATGAGTAAATTTCGATACAGAATTATATTCACACAATGAATCAGGATTATTTCCACCCCATACATGGTCTTTATCAAGAGAAAGGGATGTAAAGAATATGAACCTAAACATCACCGTTTTCTATTTTAGGTGACAGCATTCTGTGACTCACTAGAATTAGAAAACAGTGACATTAGAATTAGTGACAATTAGAAGGGAAAGGAAGAAAGGGAAAGAATGGCATCTTTTACTTACTCGTGATAAAAGCAACAGGAAGGAGTTGGCATCAGGGAAGATAGATTGGACTTAAGCTGATTCTCACTGCTATAATTATCTACTGTGTCTGGTTTTGATCCTGTTTACTGTGTGATACTTGATATCATAATGAACTGTTGATTGTGTTTATGAACATTTGCAAGGTGCTCGTTTGCTGCTATTTTTCGGTTAGAAATGTTGTTTTGTGTGCCAAAAATGGCTTGACCAGCTGAAAATAATTCTATATAATTTCAATTTAATAGAGATACACTTTCCTAAATTCAATTTTATGCAGTTTTGTTACAACTTGCTAAACCACAGGAAAAAGGGAAAAAAAGGACATACTATGTATATAATTCCCTTCAACCACTTCCTCTGCTTGTACATTTGTTGCCAGAAACAATTTTATGATTTGCGATCGGCAATAGCATTTTCAAAAAATGGTAATTTTTTTCCCAAAAATTACCAATAATTTTTTATTCTAAAAGCCATGACAACTTGACAAAAAATATGTTAAATTTCTAGTCTCTTTTTAATGCAAATATATTAAAAACTAAAAATGAATTTGTACTCAAAAAATTTCTGGCACAGTCTCCCTTAAGAAAATCCCTAATTGGATAGAATAGGCATGTTCCCATAATTCACTATTATTAAGAAACTATTGGCTGGGCGCGGTGGCTCACACCTGTAATCCCAGTACCTTGGGAGGCCAAGGCGGGCAGATCATGAGGTCAAGAGATCGAGACCATCCTGGTTAACACGGTGAAACCCTGTCTCTACTAAAAATACAAAAAATTAGCCGGGCGTGGTGGCAGGTGCCTGTAGTCCCAGCTACGGGGAGGCTGAGGCAGGAGAATGGCGTGAACCCGGGAGGTGGAGCTTGCAGTGATCCGAGATGGCGCCACTGCACTCCAGCCTGGGCAACAGAGCAAGACTCTGTCTCAAAAAAAAAAAAAAAATAGAAAAGAAACTATTAGTGAGCAATTAATACCCTAGCTGGATCTCTCCATCAACAACATTTAGTGAACATCATTAGGCTGTGCAGCTTGGAGAAATGTTCAGAATTATTTAAAATTTATCCATGATGAAGAATAATAGAATTAGCAATGTCATCATTACCTAGGTACCTGGCCTTTAAAAACACAATATTAACAATTTTATTTCTTCCCAAAATGTTGCCCCTTTTATCAGTTTCCTGATTGTGTTTTCAGCTGATTTTAGTTATTTGGTGCTATGTAAGATTTAAGGGGTGTGTGTGTGTGTGTATCACAGATATTGAATGCATAGCCCAATGCCCATATCTTAGTTATTGATATCTGTATAACATTTATGCAGAACTTTATGGCTTAAAACAACGGGCACTTGTTATCCCCCAGTTTCTGTGGGACAGGGTTTGAGTCGCTCAGCCAGATATTACTAGTGCCAGCTCAGGGTCTCCTGTGTCTGCAGGTAGAATGCTGTCATGGGCCACAGTCATCTCAAGGCTCCACTGAGGCTGGAGCATCCCCTTCTGGAACTCTCATGGCTATAAAATGAAGAAGTCACTTGGTTGCTGTTACCTTGCTGTGTGAACCTCTCCACAAGGTTATTTGAGTGTCCTCACTAATGGCATCTGGCTTTCCCCAGAGTGGGCAAACTCTCAATAGAGGACAAGTGAAGGGGAAGCTTTTTATGGCTTAGTCCCTGTAGTCACCCCGCCGTTCCTTACACGTATTCATTGGAATCAAGCCACTACGTCCCACCGATGTTCAAGGGAAAGGGACTTAGGCTCTAATTCTTCAAGGAGAAGGTGTCAAGGAATTTGTGAACATATTTACAAATCTTTACAATAACTTTTTGCATACATCCATGCACTGGTATAACCTAGCATTTATGCTAATAAAGTGTTATGTGCATGCTTTTGGTTAGTGTCTAGATAGAATTTTTTTTGTGTGTAATTTACTTTCAATCCATCTGTGTCCATATATTTATAATATGTTTCTTATAAATGGTGCATAATTGGATCCTATATTGTATCCTGTCTCATAGCTTTTGTCTTCAAGTAGAATGTTTTCACCCCTTATACTTTTTATTTTCTTTTATATATATACTGCTCCTTGCAGAGCAGGGATACCCAATAGGCAGTGTGCCAAGAGTAGCCCAACCCTTATACTTTATGCCATTGCTGATAGAGTGGGATTTATATAGAGAATGTTTCAGTTTATTATCTATTTGCACTATCTAATTGTTACTTTATTCTACTGTTATTGCCTTCTTTTGAATTAATCCACTTCTCAATCTTCCATTTTATCCCTTCTATTAGTTGTTTACATTATAATTCTAGTGGTTGCTCTTTACGGCATGCACCTCCGACTTGATAGAGTGTACTCTAAATTAGTATAATGGTTTTAGCAATTGTTAAAAAGTGTATGTGGCCTACAACATTTTAACTCCACTTACAGTCAGTATTCTTTTAAAGTTACCTACACAGTTGTCCTTCCTTCATTGCTAGGGTTCTGCCCCTCCATCTTGAATCATTTTCCATCAGCGTGGCATATTTCCTGTAGTATTTCTTGGTAATTCAGATCTGTTGGTAAACTTTAAATTTTCTCAATTTGTAATTTCTTAAAAAAAGTTGTCATTTGGCCTTCATTTTTGGTGGTTATTTTAGCAGGATTTAGACTTTCAGTTTGACAATATATTTTTCTCCTGAACGTTACAGATACCATTTCATTCTTTTCTGTGTATTTAATTTGTTCAAGGCAACAATACTCCTTAAAAGATGATGTGCCTCTTTCCTATGAATGTCCTCACAATTTTTCTCCTTACTTTTGAATTACAGCAGTTTGACTACGACATGCCTATGTGTGGTTTTATTTGTATTTATCTTGCTTGGGAGTTGCTGAGCTTCATAAACACATGTATTTTATCAGTTTTAAGGCCTTTATCTCTGCAAATACTGCTACTGCTTCACTCTCTTGGTCCTTCATCATTAGAACTTCAGTGCACATACATGAGACATTCCGATCACATATTTTATATGTCTGTTGTGCGTTGTTTTCTTCTTTTCATTCTTTATTCTCTGTACTAAGTTTTGGTATTTTCTACTGACCTACTGTAGAGTTTATTAATATTGTCTTCTGTTGTGTTCAGTCTGTTGTTAAACTATCCAATGGGTCTTTATATCAATTAATTCATGCATTGAATGCACATCAGTTATTATATCTTTTGGTTCTAGTGTATCTATTTTTTCTTACAATTCCACTTATACATCACAATTCTTCCTTGTTCATTTATTTTGTCTCCTCTATTTAACATATTTATAATAATTATTTTAGTTATTTTAAAATTCTTGGCGTAATTCTAATGCTATTGTCGTCAATGGACCTACTGATTTTGTTTTTTTTTCTTTGAATTATTGGTCACATTTTTCTGCCTGTTTATATGTATGGTAATTGGCTATTTTTAATTTTATACCTCTGACATATATAAAAGATGGCAGATTATTTTAATTTTCCCTAGAAGTTCTCCTCGTTCCTGTGTGAGGAAGATAGGGTGACAAGCTGATCACTATGATGTAATCAGGTCTGTGCCTGAGGCAATTTCAGCACCACTCAGTCTATTTCTAGTTTGCTTCTAGTCTGTGAATGTGCCTTTCATAGAATTTTTTAATTGAGAGCCTGGCAATTCCCTATCTCCTCACCCCACCAAGCAAAGATGGAAGGATATTCATTATTGTCTTTGGAGGATTTTTCATTTAGCTCTTGAGATTTTACTCATGTGGCTAAAAATCTGACAGCCATCTTGAGGGGAGACTGGCAGTGTGTTTGAGGACATCTCTCCTCCGTGCTTCAAACACACGGCCAGACTAATCCTGTCAGACTAATCACAGTGCATCTGATGAGAGTTGATTGTAATTGGGGTTTTATTTTACATTTTCCAGTTCACTAAAGAGTTGGCATTTAAAAAAATCATCCTCTCGTTTATAATTTCCATCTCTCAGTTGTAATATTCTTGTTCTTTTCTTTTACCCATTTTAAAATTACATTTTCTGTCTTTTCCTTATAGATTTGAGGATCTCTTTATATATTCTGGAAATCATTCCTTTGTAAATTATGTCAAAAGCAATTACATTATTTCCAAGTTCATCTTGTTCTTTTATTCTCTTTGTGATATTCTTTAATAAACAATAATTTTTAATTCGATATACTCAACTTCATTTATTAACTTTACAGTATGTTCTTTCTTTTACGTCATGCTTAAAAGAATTTCCTACTTCAAGATCGAAAGGATACTTTCACTTTTTTGTCTTTAGTCTCCTTGAAATTGAGTTTTGTGAGTAGTACTAGGCAGGAGTCTAAGCTCTTTCGTTTACTCTTCAATTTTCCCTCCCTCTTGCCCTTTCTCCATCTGTCCCTTCCTTCTTTCCTTTCTTTCTTCCTTCCTTTCCTCCATTCTCTTTTGCCCTCCTTTTTGCTCCCACATTCTCCTTCTCCCTGTCCTTCCACTTTATCCCTCTGTCTCTCATCCTTTTCTTTTCTTCTTGGGTCTTATCTCTAATTGTATGATCACAATTTATTGGAAGGCTCATTGTTTTTCTATGGTTCTGCACAACCATGGCAGTCCTCAATTGTCTATATGAGGTAATTTCTTGGCTCTTTATTCTCTTTTATCATTTGAGTGTTAATGTTTCATTACCATACTGTTATAAATTTTATTATTTATAATAAATTGATAACAAATAATTGGTAAAGCAGCCCCTCTCACCTTGTTAGCATTCTTCAAGAGGATTTTGATAATTCATGAATGTTTATACTTTGAGATACATTACAGATTCGGCTTATAAATTTACACTGAACGCGTATTGGATTTTGAGTGCATTAAATTTATAGATACTGTTAGAGAAGTTTGAAATATTATTCATTAACTCTTTCAAACCATGAACTAGATATATCTTCTCATTTATTAGAAATAGGTCTTCCTACTATCTTTTAATAAACAAGCATTTTTATAGGTATCACATATCATGTTTTTAAATACGACCATATTTTCAATTCTATTAAAAATGAAGTATTAAAAAATATATATTTGTTGACTTATAGAATACATTTTTTATATTGACATATTTTCACTAGCCTTTCTAAGCCTTATTATTACTTTACAAATTGTCTATAGATTCCTTTGGATTTTCTACACAGACAATTATATAATATTCAAAGAAAGTTTGTTTTCTTTCTAATCTTTCACACTTTTATCTATTTCCTCAAAATTTCAAATGTATCAGTTATAATTGATTATGTTGGTTGATTGCAATGATGTCTTCATATATAATTATTTATTTTTACTTTCTAGTATTATTTGTGCTTTCAGCAAACATTTGTTAATCTGTTAGTCTTTTCACAGAGCCAGTTCGTATGCCTGGATCAATTGATTCCTGTTATATCGTTTTCCTCTTTTTGTTTCTTTTTCACATTTCTTAAATTGCATACATAATTATTGCCATCTCTTCTTTTATAATATACATTTTATAATACACATTTGATGCTATAAATTTTCCTCTATTGTTTTAGCCACATCACGTTTTCATATTTAGAATTACAGTCAATTGTAAATATTACTTAGCTCAAATACTTTCTAATTTTCATTATAATCTTTAAGTTTTGTGAATTATTTAGAGGTATGTTATCTTTCTGTTATAAAATTTAACCCAATGTCATTGGTCTAGAGATAGAAATCAATTGACAATTGGCAAACTTTGTTTATGAAATGCCTTTTGCCAAGTTTCTTAAATGATTCATGAGTTATTAAAAAGAATGTATATTATGCAACTGTTAGGCGCCATGTTCACTTGATCAGCTAATTATGTTGTTTAAGTATTCTGCGTACTGTCTCCTTACTTTCTCTCTTTATCTTGCTCTCACTCTCATTTGCTTAATGAAATACTAAAAAGAAAACCCTTATCCCTTTACTGCAGAAAATTTGGAAAATGAAATCAGTAAAAAACATTACTTGTAATCTCATCATCCAGTAAAATTTTAATGTTATTTTTCTAATTAATCAATTGTACCTCTTTTGAAATATGTTACATAGAGATTTCAGATATAAATAGATACAGATAGAGGTGGAGATTATAGAAGAAAAGAAATATTTTTCCCCCATCTTAGGTTCATGGCTGAGACCCCTGTAGCAAAAGACAGATTACTAAGAGAAACACATACAAATGTATTTGATGTAAGTTTTTTATGACACGGAGCTTTCATAAATGGAAATTGAAATATACAGGTAAATCTGTACATTGTTATGCTTAGGTTTGAAGAAGAGTGAGTAGTTGTAGAGAAATATGATTGGAGGACAACTGTTTGGGGAACTTAGCAAGGCCTATTTGTTCATGTGCTTCTCTGTGTCCTTGTGTCTTCAGAGATAAGGATGCTCTTTTCTTCCAGGTATAGAAGGGCACATTTTGAATGAAAGTCATACAACCTGCTTTGGAGAAGGGCAGGAGAAGGTCCGAGTAATCTTCCTGCTTCTGCTGTTTTCTCAAATGCCAAGGTGCCATATTTTGGGGTAGTGTGTCCTGAACCCCAGAGATGGAGATATACCCTGGTATCCCCTCCTTGAAAATCTGCTACCACATCTTCGGGGTTTATTTAGCCAAAAGAAGTCAGGACTGACTGTCTCTAAACTTTAGTGTCTTGTCAGTCTACTATTGGCAAAGTTTCTAAAACAGCTATGTGTTGTCACTAATGAAGACCAGTTCTGTGTAGTTTCATACATTTTTTTCTGCCCTGATGATGCCTGGATAATGATGGAAAGTGGAGCCACAGATTTTGGAAAACCGCAAGCATGACTACAAGTAGAAGCCCATTGAATATCAACAGGAAAAGTAGTTGCAGTCATAATCCCTTTCTTAGTTTGGACCCTTTTCCCCAAAGAAATGTCCCTTCTTTTTCCATAGGGACCAACTTTGCACATGCTGTAAGAGGGAGTCCTGTTAAAACTCCCTCCCCCAGCAATGGGTTGCCTACTTGTAGATTACATTTGAATAGCTAAGAAGAGAACTCTTCAACAATTGCTGCCACTCACAGCCTAAAGTATATTTTCAAAAGGGAACATTTTATTAACTTGCTAATAAAAGAAAGAGTTTTCTTTGTTATTTCAATTGGAAGACAGCTTTTCTATCAAATTCTCATAGTCTTGTAATAAAATAGTTTTCGATTGTCTACCACGTCTTAAGAATCAGGTTGCTAATAAAATTTAGAAAGATAAAGTATTAATTAGTAAATTGCCTGGATTTTAGAGAAATTTAATGGACTATGTTGATTCCTCTTTGTAAATTTGTGATAAACCTAGTTAGGTGTGATAGTTTTGTTTTGCATAGGAATTAATGGTTCAGCCAACACTTCCCTGATGTTCAGAATAGTTTAAATAGCATAAATCAATATACAGTACATGTAAAACGTTGGAGGTCAGAAACTGATACCTCAAAATGTAGCGCTTTGACATGTTGAACTGAAGTAGAAGCCTCAGGTCTCTCTGAATTCCTGCCACCTTCCCAACTCTCAATCCTCTGTCTCTCCCAAAGCAGAGGATGGAGTGTTCTCTGAAGTTTCCTCATTTGCCCAAGGCTTAGATCCACCCAAGAAGAAAGCAGTTACCACTGGTTTCTCCCCTGAGGTCCATTAACTCCCATATCACAGGAAAAAGGACTGAAGTCTGTCAACACAGCTGGACAGATTTTTGTCACAAACCATTGTCTGGTTTCTAGGCCAAACTGACCGTGCCCTAGGCCATTGTATGTTCTCCAAGTCCATTGATTTTCCTCTGAAAATCACTAGCCCTCAAATTTCCATGTTCCTCCTGTCTCCCCTCTCATAAAAAGAAGGGCATATACACATCTGTATCCCATTGGGCTATTGAGTAATCATTGTCCTAAGAATCTCCATGCTGTGCATGTTAATAAATTTGTATGGCTTTTCTGTTATTAGCCTGCCTTCTATGAGTTGATTTTTCAGCAAATCTTCAAAGGGCAAAGAGGAACTTTTCCATTGTCTCCTACAGAAGCATTTAAAATTCTGTAAAACAATGACAAAATCAAAAGCCATGTAAAATCGTGTGTGTTTGTGGTATTTTTAGCAAAATTTTATTTCATATTTATATAATCCAAAATTCTAATATAATAGTTCTAAATCGAATTTTAGGGTCCATGAACTCATCCTTTGCACTTTTGAAGCAGAGGAGGACTGTGACAGAGTTAGAATCTCAGTTTCTCAGTTCCACAGGCTGCTACTCTTCACATGGCAGCTGGATAATGTTCGATTTTCAGTCCTGTGTATTTATAACACATTTCAACCTGCAGAATGCTTGAAATTATCTGCTAGTCACTCTTCTATCTTGACCAACATACAAAATCATTGATGTAGAATTCAGTGTTGCAAAATTTTGAAAAAAATAGTTTTGGTAATAATTTTAAATATCATTGGCATTAGAGTCTGACAGACCAAAATTAACTCCTTGTGTTATAATTCATTAGCTTAAAGGCATGATGATTGTGACAACCTCACTGAGTCTTGACTTCTCCATTTAAAGATAATAACATGAACCTAGGTTGCAAGTTCTTCATGAAGATTAAGTGACATTTTATATATAATATGCAGAAAATAGGTTTGATATGTTGTAAGCATTTGATAAATAACATTTATTATAATAATTTTCAGCAACAATAAGAAAGAAAGTCAAGGTGTTCCTAAGAGACTTAGAGGTTTAGGTCCTACATTGCAAAAGGTTTAGTATCTGCACTGTTCCAACAGAAGGAGCAGACATATAGAACTCAGTTCCCATCCTTGGTTTATTTATTTTGAGTATTCGACAGAAGAAAGGAGTCAATGAAATGAGAAGACCTGTGCGGGCAAACTAACCTTATGTAGAATGTGTCCTCTTATTATAAAATGAGAAGACAACCCCTTTTCACAACTACTACAAAACAATGCCATACCCATCCATTGTTATTACCAGTTATTTCCAACTCTCCCCTGCTATTTCCAGAGTCCACCTTCCTGTGGGGAAAAGCTAACCTAGAATAACTGTATTTCCTACACCTGAGAGGCCACACAAGTATTACATTTTACAAGGAGTAATATTTTTTTTTGCAATTTCTCCCCAATGTACTTTATATCCATCTAGTCCATAGCAGAAATAGTAAAATTTCAAAATTCAATAAACCAAAATAAAAAGGTCTAAAAGCTGGAGCCCTATATAGACAGAATTATAAACGCACATTATTACACCATTAAGAAATTGTTTTATAACATTTAACATTATTGTAACATGCCTGTGTTGCACAAATTCATATATACTATGAATAAAGTCACATACATTAAAACATAGAGTATGTTAAATATGGTATTCAGTTTTGTAAAACCAAATTTGTCTGATGTGATGTTTTTCTGGAAAACACAATAAGAAAGCTTTCCGAGTATAAATGACAATGGGTTTTTACACATATGTCTAGCTCTCAATGTGTAAATGACAATGGGTTTTTACATTCATGTCTCCAAACTGGATTCTGCAAATTGTATTCTAAATGAAAAATATCGCTCTAGTAAACAAATCTCATAAGACAGCAATTTATCTCAAATAAATTTTTGGCCAAATGTTTAGTCTGTAGGAGAGAAAAAGCAATATATTTTCCTCACCCATCACAGAGTTCATAGCTGAAACCCTTGTAACAAAATACAAATTAATAAGAGAAAACATACAACTTTGTTTAATATAAGTTTTACATGACATGGGAACCTTCAGAAATGAAGACCTGAAAACCCAGGGACAACTGTGTGTTTTTATGGACAATCGTGCAGAAGTGTGATTGGAGGACAAACGGGTATGGTCTAATGGCACTAAACTGGGGGGAACTTATGAAGGCCTGTTTGTTCGGATTCTTGCTAGAGTCCCTGTGTGACAGTCCTTCCCTCTGGCTAAACAGCAAGACACTTGTCTCATGAGGGTTTTCAGGAGAGAAGAAGCAGGGAGAGGTCACAGTGACCTTCCTACCTCTGCTGTTTCTCTCAAGTACTAGAGTCCATATTTGGGGATATTTTGAAACTCAATAAGTCTTTGCTGAAATACAGTGTATCTATATTCTTTTATCTTTAACTTTTGTATATTACACACCATTCTACTTTTCTTTTTTTTAATTTTTTTTTTTGAGATGGAGTCTCGCTCTGTCACCCAGGCTGGAGTACAGTGGCGTGGCGAGATCTCAGCTCACTGCAAGCTCTGCCTCCTGGGTTCATGCCATTCTCCAGCCTCAGCCTCCCGAGTACCTGGGACTACAGGTGCCCGCCACCACACCCAGCCAATTTTTTGTATTTTTTTAGTAGAGACGGGGTTTCACTGTGTTAGCCAGGATGGTCTCGATCTCCTGACCTTGTGATCTGTCCGCCTCGGCCTCCCAAAGTGTTGGGATTATAGGCGTGAGCCATCTACTTTTCAAATAAAGTGATATATTTGCTAAAATTGTGTGTAAACTAATTATAGCAAAATTTTTATAAATAAAATTATTTCAAAGATAAATCTTACATCCTACAGTTACACATAAAGAGTAGTGTTGTATCAGATCTACAGTGTCTAACAGCCTTTCTCTCTGTTAATGTTACAAAACATTGATCATTGGTAGCCCATGCTACTGTCATTTTAATACAAGCCCATAAACTTGAATTTTAAATGAATCACCCAAATGATTTTTCAGGTAGTCATCTTCCAGAAAGATTGGCTTGTAGAATTGAAATTTTATTCTACGTTTTCTAACTATCAATAGTTAAAATCTACATCTCAAAAGTGAGCTGTCGAGTCAATGAAGCCCGGGAGTTTGCAGGTTTGGCTTTGAGGCTCCATGTGTTTCACCGTGAATAAGTGTAGACTCACACATTCAAGAAGCATGTTCCACCCTGTATATGAATAATAGTCTTCAACCTGCCAGGCTTGCGGCTTGATAGGCATTATAGCACACTGTATATTGAAGACGTTTATTTTATGTCACTAGAACAATTACTCCAGCGAAAATTTAGTTTGTTATGTACTTTGTATAAAACTCATGTCTTCTCACATGAATTACTGGGAAGCCATACTTTTTAAAAAGTTGTAATAGAATTAAAGAAAGTTAACTCCTAGAATAATAGCAGAATTGGCAATTGATATTCCATCTAGAAATGGCTTTCAAATCTTGAGATGACTCTTAAATTCAAAAGTTTGAGAGTTGAGAAGACACATTATAGGACTTTATAATAACAGAAAAAATTAGCTGTAGGGGTTGTAGGGTAGACTCAGGTTTGTGCACTGCATTCCATCCATGTTATCACAATTAGAGACATCATCTAAAAATTGAGTGAGTTGGTTCTTTTTCCAAGAGTCAGTACAAACTGAAATTCTAAAGAGAATTTTTTAAAAGTTAAACAACTTATGGATGACAAGTTTAAAATGAAATATTCAGGAAAATTAGGGCATTAATTAATTCATTCATCCATTCATAGTATTTATTTGGTAACTATTAGGTTCTGGAAAATGTGCTAAAATATATTAAGAAATAAAACTTTAAAAGTCCATACTTTCATGAAATTTGAGATTATTTGGGGACTAGAGACAAGAAATGTTATCAAAAATGATGTTAGTGGTATGATAAAAAGGGCACAGAATTCTATGAAAGTAAATATTAGAAGATAATTCAAATAGAAGTTTCAGGAAATTATTTTGGGGGTACAAAATAATTAATAGATAACAACCTTAAGTACTGAGGGGAACTGGTTAGATAAAGGAGAAGATGAAAAGAAAAGTGTTTCTCAGGGAAAAGCTGTATGTGAGAGGAGGCTGTGATCAGATAATGGAAAGAAGCTTTGCAGGTCAGGGGCAAGGTTCAAGGTGAGAGAGTTGGCAGAAAGGAGGGAATGCATCAGGCGGGTAGCTTAAAGCATGCCAAGGATTGCAAAATTTAGAGCAATGGGAAACCACCAAGATTTTTATGCTGACATAATTATACTTGCATTTTTGAAATATCAATCTAGTTGTAGAATTGAGTCTGGAATGTAGAGTGAGAACTGGCATGCTGTGACAGAGGTCAGACCTGAGAGAGTGGGCCAGAGACCAGGAAAGGTGCATGATTTCAATAGGGAGAATATGTAGATATTTGTGAGTCATCAGATGAGGTGAGTGAAGAAGATGGAAATGTAACCAATGGCAATTAGGTTTCATACATAAGTGAATGAATACTATTACTTTTTCCTAAACGAGAAAACACTGAAGAGAGAACCTAATGGAGATCAATATAGATTCAGTTTTGGACATGTTCATATTTTCTATGAGATACATAAATAAATCTCACCCATGGGCCACAATGGGATTGACATAAGATGTCAGCAAATATATAAGGAAAGACATGAGATGCATAGAAAACAAACCACAAAATAGTAGACACATATTCTACCTTATCAGTAATTATATTAATGTACATGAATTGAACACTGCAATTTAAAGGCAGACACTAGCAGATAAATTTTTACAAATGATACAACTGTATGCTATCTAAAAGAGACACACTTTGGATTCAGAGATAGGAAGTAAAAGGATAGAAAAAGACAAGCAAACGGTAGCCAAAATAAACCTGAAGTGATTATATTAAAGTCAGACAAAATAGTCCAGAAGGTAAAATTTGTAGCTAAAGATAATGAAGAGAATTTCATGATGATAAAAGAGTCAATCCATCAGGAAGACATAACAATTATAAACACATATACAAGTTCCAAAATACATGAATCAAAACCTGACAGAATTGAAGGGAAAATGTACATTTCAACAGCCGGGTTTTTAATATCCATTTCAGCAATGAGTATGGTGATTAGGGAGAAGATCAAAAAGAAATAGAAGATGTTAACAACATGGTCAACTAACTAGACCTAACAGACATTGATGGAGCACTTTGCTCAACATGAGCAAAATACCGATTCTTCTCAAGGAAGTTCAACGCACATTCTCCAGGACAGGCCATCTGTTGGACTGTAAAACAAGCTTCAATAACTCTAAAGAGACTGAAATAACACAGAATATTATAGGTGCTAAAGGATGTGATGCCTTGCCTCACCCATCACAAGGGTCACGGCCAATACTTCTATAATAAAAGATGAGTTAACAGGAGACAAGCATGACAACTTTGTTTAATCTAAGCTTTACATGATAGGAGCCTTCAAAAATAAAGACCTAAAGACCCAGGGGAAGCTATTTTTATGCTTCCTTTCGATGAAGAATGGACCATTGTGTAGAGATGTGATTGGAAAAAAAGGATAAGATCTAATGCTAATAGACTGAGGGGAGAAATCCAGCAAGGCCTTTCTGGAGTGAAAGCATAAAGAAAACAAACATTGAACATGGATTTTGATCCAGTGGCATTTGATCCAGTGCATTTTTGAGAAGCAATCTTGACAGTGGCTAGGAACAGGAGCTGAATCCCTGTGCTTCAATTGCCTTATCTGTTAAATGGGGATAATAGTAGCCACCTTATATGGATGTCCTAAGAATTAATTGATGTAAAGATTTATAATAGTCTCTCGGCAAACAATACAAATTTAATAAATTGCAGCCAACATAGTTATAATCATATCGATTCTTCAGAGTAACCACCCAGTCTTTGCATTCTCATCCACACGTTGCCAGAGGAGAGCACAAAAGCATACAAAGACTCGCCTGAAGCCTTGCAGCCACACCACACAGCACCGAGACCTCATCAATCCCCCTCACTTTCTGCTAAATCACCTGCCCCACACGTGATTAATGTGCCCCGACCTCTCATGTCTCATTTTGTAGTCCTGATTTATGTCTTTCTGTTGTGTTGTGAGTAATATGTTTACAGAGGGGGAGAAAATTATAATATTGAAGAAAGGGAAACAAAAGTGAGGCAGTCAGGTATGTGAAAGTTATAGTAAGATTTTTATGTCAATGCAGCTCAACATTTCTGCTATATTCTGTTTTGTAGGCAGAACAAAATCTCTCTTAGTTAGAGGCTGAAATCCAAGGGACTTCGATTTATTCCAATTTTCAAGTAGAAGATTTTATTTTACTCAGGTAAACATAGACTGTGCTGTTACATAAATAAATAAATAAATAAATAAATAAATAAAGCAAGCAGAAGGTGCGGCATAGATTTAAAAAACTATACTTGGGGAAAATAAAATTAAATAAAATCATCGTCAAAAGTTCTTGTGCACTTTGAAATTCAGATTGCATCGTGAGCTTGGATTGCCAATATCCTTCACGCTGTTGCTTGCCAGACTGATAGCTCTTTCCATTCATTACAGATAGAAAGTGACTATGAAGCTTTACAAAGTTACGGGCAGGTGCAAAGCTGTTGATCCCAGCCTAGAAGATACATTTTATATGCCTGTGAAGATTGTTCAAAAAACCCCAACTGTAACACCAAGTTGTTAGAATAGTTTAAGAAAGATTAAGCCAGAGAAGGGAGCTTCATTTTTTGTGCTGACAACACTTACGGGGTTTTAGTTGAACCCAGCCAAGAGGATAAATTGCAAAGTAATTAAGAGGAAGTCTAAATCCAGATTTGTTCAGTTTGTTTCTTAGGATCGTTAATATTAACTGACTTTCACATTCAGATTCACTTAACTTGGCAAATGCCATGAAAACGAAATCACATAAGATTTTGCAGCCTAACATTCTTTCCGAAATGGGAAAAGCTACTCAGCCTAAGAAATATTTCATTTGATTTTGAGGTGTTTCACAGACTATGAAAAATTTAATTTCACAAACAAGTGCCAAACATTTTGTTTGTCTTTGAAAAATAATCATTTCAAGAAGAAATCAATGACTTTCAGAAATAAAACCAGTAGCCATAACAACTCCTCCAGGCATTTTCCCTGAAATGAGTGGGTAGTGACTATTTTAAAGGACATTTTCATTGACTTTGCTGTATTATCTGACACTTTAAGAAATGTCAGAGGGTATTGTTTCAGGGACTCTTATTTAAATTCAGGTTAACGTTATACGCCTGCTTCTCAGGCTCCATCCAGCTTCCTTTGTGACTCAGTTCAATAACAAATAATGATGAACCATTGAACCACAGACATGGATAAAGACAATCCCATGTTTCCATTACAGACCCAATTCAATGGTTTCCCATGTTCTTTAATTGTATGGATTAGAATGCACAGAAAAATGGTATATTAGACATTAGAGATTTCCTCTCACTTTCCCCACAAAATTTTGACATGATTCTCCCAGAAAAAAATGCAAAGTAGAAATGGAGATTCCCGTGATTGACAGTGATGTTGGAGCAAAGCACATTTCCAGCATCTGCTTGCGTGACCCTGGTAAAGCATGGGCATGTGCGGTTCAGGCTCAGAGAGGCGTGGAGTTTAGAAAAAACAGCTTAATAGCAAAACATTCACTCTTTGTTTCATGGATGGAAAGATTAAAACGTATCAATTACATTGTTCACAACAATTTAAAAAATCCAGCTTTCTTTTCCAAGCATTTCTCTCACATCATCAGTTATAGTCCCAGACTGCGAAGTCTAGGGTTATTCAGGTCAAATTATCTAACATTTGCAGGTGCCAATGATGAGCTAGCCATTTTGCATGATAAGTAATCTGCACCCCAATTATCATAACATCCTCCCTTCTTACAGATGGCTTAGCCAAGGAGGAGAAATGTAACTTGCGCAGATTCACATAGCTGAATCTATGTGAAATCAAAATGTTTGATTTCAAAACTTACACTTTAATATCACACTATGCTGACTCTCATTATTCTTAAAGCTGAATTTTGTAATTGAGGAAGAGTTGATTTCAAAATGTCTCAAATCCTCAGCTCAAATTCATGGGCAGTTTTCATTCACTTCTACACAGCATACATGTGTAATATATGTTATATATAATATAGATTTTATTATGTAAATATAGTTTAAATTATACATTTTTAAAATAAAAATATGAATTTTCTTTTTCATTATTTCAAGGTTTTACATGTGCTTAGTTTTAAAAATGAGTTAGCTTCTTTTATCTTTAACTTTTGTTTGTTTTCCAAATGTCTAGTTGAGTCATTCCATTTGAGATGGTAATTTTTAACTTTCCTTGCTTACTTCTAGAGTAACAAACCTTTATCCTTAAACCTCTGGATTTGGCATTATTTTTCCATCTATACTGAATCTTTATTGTATAGGAGCCAGGATAAAAATAAGAATAAGAGGAAAATATTGAACAGCAGAATGAGAAATGTATGTTTGATGCCATCAATTCTTCAAATTTTTCAATATTATTTTAGAGAGAAACATGGAATTATTTGCTGTAAAATGTTACCCTAAAACAACAATAGAAAGTGAAAAATCTAAATATCACAATTTTCAACTGCTGAAATAAAAGAAAATATTTAAAAAATTGAGTCAAATGTTTAAAACAAATTAGTTTTTGAATGGTCTTAAATTTTAGGAAAGATAAATAATTCATTAAAGTTCAAAGAATTTACTTTCTCCATTACCTTAGGTCTATGCAACATATTAGTTTACTTTTGAATGAGGAAATAATTCACAAAAGGTTGATCTTTACTTTTAGAAGAAATAATTTAATATACTATAAGAATGATCAAAAGTTTTTATTATGAATGAAAGGCAAAATGCTTGTGTAAACATTTATATCTTATAAGTAAGTTTTCTGTTAGTATGCTGTGTTCTGACATCAATTTGCTGACACTAACTGGGTGTCCCGTAATCCAGTTTAATTCTGACAGTTATTGCCTGGAGTTAGCACAGACCCACATATTAAGAGCAAAGTCGTTCACAGGACTGTTTCCACTTCAGACACCAGCCACAGCTTTGGGTATCCCTAAGCTACCACACTTCTGCCCAGCCAGCTACAAATTCAGGGCTTCCCACAATCTCTTTAGATTGAATAATTTGCTAGAATGGCTCACAGTATTCAGGAAAGTGCTACTTAGAATTATCATTTCATTATAAAATTTGCTCAAATGGCTCACAGTACTCAGGAAAGTGCTGCTTAGAATTATCATTTCATTATAAAGAATATACATAAACTGCCACATGAAGAAGTAATAGGGCAAGCTCTAGGAGAGTCCTGAGCCCAGGAGCTTTCGTCCCTGGGAAGTCGTGGCATGCCAGCATCCTGGTTCACTTACAGGTTCACCAGTCAGGAAGGTCCTTTGAGCCTCAATGGCCCGAGCTTTTATTGAGGTTTCATCACCTAGGATGATTGAGTAAATCACTGGTCAGGTGATTAAATTCAACCTTCAGCACCCATGCTTTCCCCAGAGGTCAGGCTGGTCCAGAGTTCCAATTCTCGAAACACAAGTTTGGCCTTTCTGGGTATCAATCCCAATCCTGAAGCCACCTAGGCACCCTCCATCCCCACCAGGAGCTGCCTCATTAACATAACAGAAATTTTCCCATCACGCTGGAAATTCCAAGGGTTTTTGCAGCTCTGTACCAGAAACATGGGACCATGGGATGAAGACCAGATCTATTTTATATTGTATTATAGATGTCCTCTGTGTGTTTATCTAGGCTCATAATTGATATGGAGCTTTAAATAGTTTTTTCTGTCATATACATTTCGATGTTCTTCCACTTTGTTGTTTTAAAATTACTTTCCAAGATAGTGAATTCCTTGCATAAGGTTCATATTTTCTAAATGCACACAAATTCTTTTGCACTGGTAGCTTAAAATTGTTTAGTAATGGTAAAGATGGTTTGAGACTGAGATAATCACCCAGAGAAAGATATATTTTTTCCTTAAAAATTAGGCAAAGCTACATAGCATTAAGATCTTTTACTAGCAGAGTACATTTTCAGATGCCCCTACATTACATAAATTAGTGCAAGACCAATCCAGAAAAAAAGAAGTAGCCGATAGAATTATAGTGTGGAAGTCAGGCAGTCTTTACTTTATACTGACGTATCTTTTAACAATTAAGACTAAGAGAAAGAATGTTTTTCAATTTGTGTATCACCTCTTAGAAAGCTGAACAAGTCTGATATGACATAGGCTAGCTAGGCCAATTAGGGATAAATTAGAGAAGAACACAGACCCAATACAGGTGGTTCAGACTAATCCATTCGTCTTTCATTCGTTTAAACATTTTTATTGAGTGCCTGTCATTCTAGAATGACAGCAGTTACAATTCTAGGCATCAAGAGTGTAGTCCTTAAGATAGAAACAAATTCCCTGACGTTGGCCAGGTGCGGTGGCTCACGCCTGTAATCCCAGCACTTTGGGAGGCTGAGGCAGGCGGATCATGAGGTCAGGAGATCGAGACCATCCTGGGTAACACAGTGAAACCCCGTCTCTACTAAAAAACACAAAAAATTAGCCGGGCGTGGTGGTGGGCATCTGTAGTCCCAGCTACTCGGGAGCCTGAGGCAGGAGAATGGCGTGAACCCGGGAGGCGGAGCTTGCAGTGAGCCGGGATCGCGCCCCTGCACTACAGTCTAGGTGACAGAGTGACACTCCCTCTCAAAAAAAAAAAAAAAAAAAAAAATTCCCTGACCTTATGAAATCTACATTCTTCTCTAGGAGTCAGAGAGAAGCAAAGAATGTGAAATACAATGTCAGGTAGTAATAAATGTTATGAAGAAAAGTAAAGAAAATAAAGGGATAAAGAATGATAGAGTGAGATGGTAATTTAGAAAGGGTGGCTAATGAGGACTTGTCTGAATGGGTAACGTTTGCCAGAGACCTGAATGAGATGAAAGAATAAACCATACAAATATCTAACAGAAAAACATCCGAGGCGAAAGAACAGCAAGTGCCAAGTTCTTACGGAGGAAATGAGGTTGGAACGTTTAAGGGATAACAAACCTGTGACTAAAATATGGCAAGTACAGTAGAGAACAATACAAGATGTGGTTTGAGAAATGGCTGGGTACCAGTTGATAGAAGGTCTGTATAGACCAAAATAAACCTGAAAAAAGGAAAAGAAAATTAGAAAAGAACAAAGGCCTTGATTATAATTACCTAAAATTGATTCATTTTAACATCAATTTCACACAATTTTAATAAGTAGTATGTTCCAAAGAAAGAAATACGTATGGTCAAACAGATTTAGAAAATGCTGGGTTAAAACCATTAAGCCTTTTTTTTTTTTATTGTAAAGATTTTTTAGAACATTTCATCATTTGATTTGTGTTCAATCTAATACAGAGATTGTAATCAGAATTTTTCAAATTTATTGTCCTGAATAACTTTTTCTTCTAGTAGATTATCTCCCAGGATTAGGGTTCCACTGAATTCCTTTAGGAATCATTATTAGTTGTCAAACACTGTAAAAAGATCTGAGTGGCAAGAGGTGTGTATTTAACACCAAAACTAGAAATGTAGTTTAGATTTTATGTTATTTATCACTTGCCAAGAGAACATACAGAGAGAAAAGCATTGAAAAAAAAAATAGATTACATGGAGTGAAGTTTTATAAGGAGATACAGCCTTTAGAGGAACTAACTTTCCAAGTTAAAAAAAAAAAGGTATTTAGTTCTTAAAATATTCCTTCTGCCTTGTTTTCCTTTCTCCTTTTTTTTTTTTTTTTTTTTTTTTTTGAGATGGAGTCTTACTCTGTTGCCCACGCTGGAGTGCACTGGCATGCTCTCGGCTCACTGCTCCACAGGTTCAAGCAATTCTTCTGCCTCAGTCTCCCGAACAGCTGGGATTACAGGCCCGCACCACCATGCTTGGCTAATTTTGTTGTATTTTTAGTAGAGACAAGGTTTCACCATATTGGCCAGGCTGGCCTTGAATTCCTGACCTCAGGTGATCCACCTGCCTCAGCCTCCCAAAGTGCTAGGATTACAGGCGTGAGCCACTGTGCCTGGCTCCCTTCTCCTTCTGAGCTTTTGATTATACATATGTTAGACTGTGTTGTCTCACAGATCATGGGTACTCTGTTTTTGTTTGCTTGTTTGTTTGTTTCCATGTTTTCTATTTGCATTTCATTTTGGGTAATTTTTACAGACTTTTCAACTTTACTAATTCTTTCTTCAGCTGTTTGGAGTCTACTAATAATCACTTCAGGGCAATCTTCATCTCTATTAGGTTTTTCTTTTCTAGTATTTCCATCCAATTGTTTTTTAAATCTTCATCCCTCTGCTGAAATGACCTTTCTGGTCTTGCATGCTGTCTGCTTTTTCCATTACAGCCTTTAACATGTTAATCAAGGTTAATAAATTTCCAAGGTTTGTGCATAGCTAAGCCTGCTTGGCTCCCTGGGAGAGTGTTGTTTTCTTCTTGTTATTTTGTGTGTGTCTTAAGTTTTGTGGGGAAAGTTGGGCATCTTCTTTAAAACTGTAAACATGAAGTTTTTTTTCCTGCTTAGAAATGAGCATGCCTTTCCTTCTTGTAGGTCTTTAGTGTGGAGAGTTGAATTATTAATCTAATTAGGAGTTGAACTGGGCTTAGGTTTGCTGTGCTACGGTCACCTCTAGGTACCACAGGTTTAAACTTCCTCTGGAGATATATTGGGTTTAGGGTTGTGGCTGCTTTGCCAGGGGCCAGGGGATTTTTTTTATGTCTCTTCCTTTTGCTTTTGGTCTTCCCTGTGACCTATGCACCTATGCCTCAGAGAGGGTCTTTTTCTTTTCTTTTCTTTTTCTTTCTTTCTTTTTTTTTTTTTTTTTTTTTGAGACAGGGTTTCACTTTGTGCTCTGTGGCCCAGGCTTCAGTGTGCAGTGGCATGATCTCAACTTCTGCCTCCCAGGTTCAAATGATCTTCCCACCTCAGCATCCTGAGTAGCTGGGACCATAGGCACATGCCACCATGCTCAGCTAATTTTTAATTTTTTTTTTTTAGAGATGAGGTCTCACTATGCTGCCAAGGCTGGTCTCAAACTCCTGGGCTCAAGTGGGCTTCCTCCCTTGGCTTCCCAAAGCACTGGCATTACAGGCATGAGCCACTGGGCCTGGCTTGTCTCCTTCTTGTAAGTTACATATTGCTAGAGACTTGCTCATTGGCAGTGTGCATGTGTGGATGGGTGTAACTTCTGTTGTTCTGGATAGGCCTCAGTCCTAGGCAGGCAGTGAACCCCTGGGTGTCGGTGGGGGGTAGCCTTCTCAGTGCCCTACTTTTCCTCTAGCTGCTGTAGGCCTGGGTTCCATGTGAATCCTGCACCACCACTCCCCATTTCACCACATATACACAGATAAAAACTTTGGTTTCACAAGAGACATGGGGGAAGGATCCTGGTGAAATTCCTTGCTTCTCCTACAGTGGTTAAAGTTTTCTTTCCCCAGTCTATACTACAAAACAAACTTTCTCAAGATTCTTTAATTTTCATCTGATTCAGGTAGAAAAATTCTGCAAGAGGATATGGACTTCCCCTATATACGTGGCCCTTAGTGCTTTACTCTGCCTCAGCAAGGCACACTCAGTCCCCATCAATCAACCAGTCACCTGTGCTGAGCTCTTCGCACTGGTCTCAATCTGCCCAGGTAAAACAGTGCTGGCATTTCATCTCCCCCTGGAGGCTCCTCTCTCCTCAGATTTCAGGACCGTTGGTTGTCCTGCTCAGCTTTCTGGTGGGTTCCAGAAAAGTTGTTAACTCACCGTTTATTTGGGGTTTTGCTGTTGTTGTAAGGCTAGAAGTGACACTCATTTCTTCTGTCTTCGTGGAAAACACTCAACAGGTAAGAAAAAAAGAAGCAACATCAACAAGCTTACTGAGGCTATCACTAGTTTAGTCACGGTAGCAAAACAATAGATTTCTTATATAATTATCACATCTGAAAGTGATAATATAATCACTATTGCAAAGATCAGGAATAAAGTCATTTTCTTATGGAGTCAGCAGATTATAGGAATGGTGGCTCAAGCCTCCATTGAGCTTGTGGACTAGAACGACAGTGACCACTCTTTGGTTGTTTGCTTATCGTAGGGAGCACAACAGGCTTCCCTGTGCTGGCTGCGGACATGACGACGCGCTGGGAACGACAGCAGTGGGAGGTGTCATGTTTGCTTTTACACACTTCTTGCCTCTATAAAAGCCTGAACTTAAAATTTAATTTTTTTAGTAAATAGCTCTCAGTGTATTACAAAGTGTACATTCAGTTATCCACAACTAATTATTTCTTTCTGTTTCTAATGTGCCAAGAACTAGTGCATGCTAAATATAAGGGAAGATACCTGATTCCTCACCAAAAATCTTGGTACATAAAATTGGGAAGAAAGTAAGCAGCATCAATCTGTTTATAAAATCTCTTTGTCTCAGCTTTTTCACCTGTGAGATAGACCATCCCATATTATTCATTAATGATATTTTTTTGTGACCAGCAGACTTCTCAGTGGTCAGATACATGTACCTCGATCCTTAAAGGTAGCAACCATCACTCATAGTGACCAGATTTGCAGAGGCAGCCTCTCCCTTCTGTCCCACAGAAGTCTACAGGGTATCCTGGGGTCCTCATTGCCCGCCTCTATGAAAATCCCACGTCCTAAATGGATTGTGTGTAATTTCTTTCTCATCCAGACCCATTCTTCCTTCCTGGTGCCTTCCCTGCCCCATCTTCTCTTTCGTCCCTGGCCCAGATCTCTACCTTGTCTGACGGGCCGTGGCCCTTGCTTCCTCTACTACATTGTGACACTTGATTATATCTTGTCTTATATCTTTCTCCAAAGATTTCATGGATCATGTCTTTCCAAAATTACTAGACTCCCTAAGGGGTGAAGCATGTCAGTCTTATTTTGCATCCTCACGCTCCCTTGCACACTGTCAGACACAGAGCAGGCATGTGACAAATGCTAGGTTGCAACAAGTCTGAGTTTCTTAATGGAAGAAATTTAGAGAGAGAAAGCGGGGGTGCTTTGGTGAGAGATATCAACTCATTGAGTATAATGAGGAAGGAACCGGCCAACCGCCGTCAATTAAGAAGTGGAGCAAATGGGCTAAAATCGCTGTAACGTGCTCCACCTGAGCTTTCTGCCGTCCAGGGCCGCTCTGTTTCACTGGGGTGGAGGCTGCCACTGCTGGCAGCTGAAGCTGAGCGCCAGGGTCTCTTCCTCTCCTCCTCGTCCTTTCGGATCCCGGGCCCTGCGGCCGCGCTTCCGCTTCAGACCCCGCATCAGGACCCGGGACACGGGGACTTCTTCCGGGCTGCAGGCGCTGGGCAGGCGCGGCGCCCCCGCGTGGTTCCTTCGCAGGGGACAGCAGGTTTCCCGCCCCGCCGCGTGGGGGCGCGCGATCTGCCGTCTGAGTTCAATGCGACTCCGGAAGGACGCAAGGGAGCCGCGCAGGTGGCCAGCTCCTTAGGCGTGTCCGTCCCAGAGCACCCTGGCTTTATCTGGTTTATTGCTCATGGTTCAATCGGGAAATTAGGCAGCGTGTCCCCATGACAGCAGACGCGGGTGACGGCTCTTGCCTCCCTCCCCAGTGCGCACCCCCGCTGGAGCGCAGGAGCTTCCTGCAGGTTCGCGCCAGCTCGGGCCTGACACTCAGGGCAAAGCGGCTCCAAACTGCCCACTGAGCGGTCCGCACACACAGTCCTTGCCCTGCAGGCTTTTCCTGGACGACTGCTGAAGTTCTAGTCGATTCCACAGCCAAAAACATGGAACACCTTGAGCAAAAACCATTATCCAACATTAGCCGTTTTGTTTTTTTTTTTTTTTTTTTGGTCAATGAACTTTTGTTACATGAAGAACAGAACAAAGCTGGATCTACCATATACCTGGTTTGAATTTACTGGCCAGAACATTAGCAATTAGGTTTTGACCAATAATATCAAGTCTTTTCAGAATATCTCTGGGGAAGAAAAAACTAAAACAAAATGACAGCAAACAAACTTCCCATAGCGGCCAGATTCTAAGTCTAGTGCTTTTAATTGAAAGAGGAGAAATTTGGCCAACTAAAACTACATCATATTCGTATGCGATGAAAAGAAGAAAATAAACATTTCTGGTCAGAAATGTAGATATGATTAATTTTAAATGGAATCTTAATTAAAATATGACAACTTGAATTTTCAAAAAAATGTCCTTGGCCGGGCGTGGTGGCTCACACCTGTAATCCCAGCACTTTGGGAGGCCGAGGTGGGCGGATCACCTGAGGTCAGGAGTTGGAGACCAGCCGGACCAACAAGGAGAAAGAAACCCCGTCTCTACTAAAAAGACAAAATTAGCCGGGCATAGTGGTGCATGCCTATAATCCCAACTACTCGGGAGGCTGAGGCAAGAGAATTGCTTGAACCCGGGAGGCTGCCGTGAGCCAGGATCGCACCATTGCACTCCAGGGTGGGCAACAAGAGCAAAACTCCGTCTAAAAAAAAAAAAGTCCTTTTGTTATGCTATTTTAAATAAAACTTTAAACACTTATTAAAAGTATGGTATACATTTAAAGATAGCTTTTCCTCGAAGAAAATGTCAGCAAGGAAAATCCTTGAATTCTGTAACATATGGTGTTTTTGAGTAGCTATATTCATCATATAAAAGCAATTTATATTTTCATTAAAGAAATTCAAATTTTACTTATTTGACACTAATACCTACACACAGGAAATTTCAAACCCAAGAAATAATAAATTATCGTTATTCTAGAAAACCTGGTACCACCTTGCTCTACCACAGCCATTGCTGTGGTTTTCATCTTTAGATGTCTTGGGTGCTGAGAGCTGGCCCTGCATCCCAGGCACATTCAGATTCTCTGGCAATCAACTTTTGTGGGAGAAGGGAAGAAAATACGATGGGGTAGAGAGAGAAGTTGGACACTGACGCAATCAACATCAAGCCTCAGCCAACCCCCAAGGCAGTCTGAAACTGGACAGGCTCTTCACAGTTGCCCAGGGAGGCCAAACAGAGAGAGTCTTTATACCCTGGCAAATGCTAGTCATGGGGAGACAGATGCCAGAGGGAGGGGGCCTGGACTTCAGCAAGTGGCTTTCTTCAGCCTGAGGTAATTCGCCAAACGTCTGGGGAACTGCAGCTGACAGCTGCGTGTCTCTCCCAGCAGTCAGGGAGTCAGTCTTTCAACCTGCAATCGGAGCATGCAGCCATTTGGGGACTTTCAGTTTGCAGAGTAAGGAGAGCTTTGGTCTGGGGCGGAAACTTTGCTTTTCTTTTTGTTGTTTTTCTGCTTTTTTTTCTACTGGGGAGAACTGTATTCTTAGGCTCTGCTTCTTCCGTGGGTCCCACTGTCTTCAGGAGAGGCCTTCTTGGACAAGCAGCCTCCTTTCCTTAGAGAGCAGGTCATGGGATTTCCAAGGTCACAAGTAATGTCTACCAGACATTCCGTTTACATACAGAGAAGGGAGACAACTGTCTCAAAAAGTCTCTTTATTAAATCATCCCCTGGTCATCCTATGTCATAGCCCTATATTTTTCCTTTTATGGATTTACTCCAGAGTGGGAGGAAACCCACATTTTTCTCTGCTGTCTTGGGCTATGGCTTCACCTTTTGTTTAAAAATCAATCTCATCTCATCTGCTATTTTCCAAGAACTTTTCAAGAATCTAGTCTATTCATAACACCCTTTCTGGTTTTTCTGTGCTGTGATGACTTTCCTTCTTAAACCTACATTTATTTTATTCCATTTTGCTCTTGAGCAGGAAGTCTGTGTATTAAGTTCTGGCCTTGATTGCAAATGCCAAGTCAGCTCAGTAGAATGGAATGGGTATGGGTTGTGGCTTCAGGCAGACACTTCACTCGGGTCTACCACTTACTATGCAACTTAGGGTCAATCACATACCTTTTGTGAGACCCAGGGTCTTTTTAAAGTGGGAATAGCTGGTGCGGTGGCTCATAGCTGTAATCCCAGTACTTTGGGAGGCTGAGGTGGGCAGATTACTTGAGGTCAGGAGTTCAAGACCAGCCTGGCCAACATGCTGAAACCCCATCTCTACTAAAAATACAAAAATTAGCCGGGCATGGCGGCGGGCACCTGTAATCCCAGCTACTCGGGAGGCTAGGGCAGGAGAATGGCTTGAACCCGGGAGGTGGAGGTTGCAGTGAGCTGAGATCACGCCACTGCACTCCAGACTGGGCAATAAGGCGAGACTCAGTCTCAAAAATAAATAAATAATAAAATAAAGTTGGAATAATAGTATGTACTGCATAAATTAGACATAAGGATATAAAAGTGCTTAGCATAATGTTTGGTATAGAACCTGCACACAAGCAATGGTTGTCCTCTCCTTTCTTTGTATTTGTATCCCTCATAACATTTTTTGTTTTTTGTTTTTTGTTTTGTTTTGTTTTTTGAAATGGAGTCTTGCTCTTGTCGCCGAGGCTGGAGTGCGATAGACGATCTCTGCTCACTGCAACCTCTGCCTCCTGGGTTCAAGCCATTCTCCTGCCTTAGCCTCCTCAGTAGGTGGGATTACAGGCTCCCGCCACAACGCCTGGCTAATTTTTGTATTTTTAGTAGAGATGGGGTTTCACCGTGTTGGCCAGGCTGGTCCCAAACTCCTGATCTTGTGATCCACCCGTCTCGGCCTCCCAAAGTGCTGGGATTGCAGGTGTGAGCCACCATGCCCGGCCTGTATCCCTCATAACATTAATGTGCCTTGTGTTCTCATGAAAAAGAAAAACTTTAATACAATCCAAAATCCATCAGAAAACGAGACAAACAACCTTAAAGATTCAGCGAGGCTTGGTTTGTTTCTAAAGTGATCGCTTAGGCAATAGTGCCTATAATATCGTCACCACCAAGTACTGCCTTGAGGTGTCACAGAATGTCATACGTGACAGTGATAGCATTCTACATTACACCCTCTTGCTTAACATATTTGTTTTTAACAATTTTTTTATTTCTTTGTAAACTTGACTGGTTAAAATAAACTAGTATTACCTAGAAGTAGGAGGTCAATCAAAGACTAATCTACAGATATATGAAATTCAGCTGGAGTCATTTATATGTAATAGTTGTATGACATCTGAGAAATATCACAGGACTAGGCCTTCTACTTGCCAGATCTGTGACTTTGCTTTGAGCCTGTCACTTTGACCTTTAGCCTCAGGGTCCCAGCAGAAAACCTTCTTAATATGTCTCCTGTGTTAGTTTCTTAGGACTGCTGTAACAAAAGTTCCACAAACTTGGTGGTTGAAACAAGAGAAATGTTTTCTTTCACAGTTCGGGCAGATAGATGTTCAGAGTCAAGGTGTCAGCAGGGTTGGTTCCTCCTGGAGACTCTGACGGAGAATCTATTCCATGTCTCTCTCTGTTCCCTGGAAAGACTGTATATGGAAAGTGGTCTGCAAATGCCAAAGCAGCTGAGAAACCAAAGAACGAGGCAGACAAATCCAGCTTGTCAGTAGAGGGTGATTTATTGGAGAATTTATAGACAGAAGCGCAATCTTGGGTGGCAGCAAGACAGGCAGATAGGCAGATCTCTGCACCTGTTACCCCCAGACCCAGGGCTCATAGGGAAAAGGTGTACATCGTCTGTATGAATAACTAAGGGCAGCTCTCCAGAAGGGGCAAGAATGCCAGGTACATCACAGCCTATGATTTGCGCAATAATGTCAAGGTTGACATTTACACAAGGGACAGTACGTAAAGTAGGAATCAGGAGGCATTCACAAGACTGGGGTTGATCAGAAGTCACCGTGGCAGATTGACATCAAGGTGAGGTCACTTTTGCTCCCCACTCTCCTAGTTTCTGGCAATGTCCAGCCGTCCTTGGCGTTCCCGGCTTTCGGTGCATTGCTCCCATCTCCACCTCTGTCACCATTCCACTGTCTTTCCTCTGGGAGTCTCTTTCCATGTTTTTACCTGGCATTCTCCTATGTGTCTGCGTCCTAATTTTCCTCATCTTATTCAGACACCAGACATTAAATTAGGGTCCATCCTAATTCAGTCCGACCTCATCATAACTTGATTACATCATCAAAGACCTTATTCCCAAATAAGACCACTTTCACAGGTCCTGGGGATTCGGACTTCAGCATATCTTTTGGAGAATAAAATTCAACATGTAACATTTCCCAAACATAGAACATTTTACAGTGGCTATGGTAGTTAAGATATTGTGTGTCATGAATCTAAAACCAAGTAACCAAAGATGAAATATTTTGAGAAGGATTCTTGAACCGCCTGGAATTGAGTTGGAAATTATGAACAAAAGGAAACTGAGGACAGCAACGTTAAAGGGAATTGGGGAAGACCTTTCTTCTCATTCCTGCTCATCTATGTACCTCTGCTCCATTCTTCTCTCTAGCTGTAAATCAATGTTCTCTGTTTTCCATTTTGTGTCACAGAACATGGCTACCGACAACGTCCCAGGGCTGAAGAGAAACGTCAACCAAGAAGATACCAATATGAACCCTTTTTAATAGAGAGAGATGGAGAAGGAGAAACCTCAGAGACTTGCCTTCTGACTTTATTTTTCCCCCCAAAAGAGATGGGCTTATTTTCTGCAAGAAAAGAGGCTTAGAAGGCATTTTTAAAAGGAGCCAATATTAAAGTTTTGTGAAAGTTTTTCTAGGGAAGGAGAGTTATTGATGGTAGGATGGTGTGGCATGTTCGGTATAGATGATAGAAGTGAGGGTGTGTTAGGGCCCAGGTAAAGGCAGGACACCATGTGTGTTTAGTGGGCTGACTTTCTCCTCGTTTGCTTTTCATCAGCAATGGTCAATAACTCCTGTGTGTCAGATGGTTACTAGAGGAGGATGTTAGACAGCTGCTAGGTGAGCCCAGCATCTTTACATGAACAACCCAAGGGGACACTGCAAGTTTATTCAACCTTATCTGTGTTAGAGTATCTTCATGGCCACACGGTAGGTTGTGAGATGGACATATAAAGTTTTAGTAAAATCACTTTTCAGATTTCCTTGTAGATATGTCTAACCCTTAACTTCCAAGGAAAAGCAACATTTTAAAAAATAAGTCAGGCCTTCTTAGTAAATATGTGTTGAATTACTAATTTTATAAATTGAACTCACAAAGAAATAACATTTGATTTATAAATATGGGTATGTGTGGTTATTTCATCCTTGGAGAAACTTCAGGAGCGACCCTTTGCTCTTTATAAATCCACTGACTCAGGCAGAGTCATAGGCAACAGAAAGAAGCCCACATTCTTGCCTCACTAGTTCATTAGTTTTTAAGCAAGATATTTAAAAATTACCTCTAGCACACTAAAAAGTACTGTCTTGCCAAAACTTTAGTTTTTTTTCCTTTCTCTTTTTGTTTGTTTGCAAGGGGCAGTCTAAATAGAATATCAACTTAAAGAAGGCCAGGGCATGGTAAATTAATTTCTTTATAATCTTATTTTCTATTTCTCCTTTTTCTTATTTTTTCTTTCTTCTTCTCAGTTGAAATACTCTTTTCAATATTTGTTAATTACCTATCCTGATATTTTTAAACCATCATCTCCCTCTCTCCAAGCTTTCCTTATTCTCATTCCCCAAATAATGTAAGTCTAAGGAAGCGTCTTTCTAAAAGCTTTCCCACAGGTAGGTGATAAAAAGCTGAGGAGATTTTCTTCTTTCTTTTCAGTGGGTGTTGGTGTGATCAGTGACGGGAGAAAGCAGCTTCCCGTGCAGTGCAGTTCTTGTAAAGGGAGGAGTAGAGGGGTGGTGTCTGTTTGATGAATAGCTTTCATTGTTTTTTATTTATTTTCCCCAAAGCAGTGTTCTCCGGGCAGAATACTTGATTGTAAAAGCAGGAGACTTGTATTCACCTTCTCGTTTTACATTGATTTTCTGTTCTGCTTGAAGCCTTTGTGTTTATAAATGTAAAAAGAAAAAATTAGGAAAATCTGCCTGTATTTCACATGGTGATTTTGGGCCTGCCTCTTGACTGGGGCACCAGTTGCCTTTTTCATAGGAAAGTGTAGAGGTGTAGACTTCACATCCACCGTATGCACTAAGCTTCCCTAGAGGTCATCTGCCTGTGGGTATTAAATGGGGCTGTAATCATGGTCTCTGCTGGACTTTATTCCCCTGTGCTCATAGTTTTCAGAGTGTTGGTGAGTGATTCAAGCAAGTACAGCCAACTGTGTTACCAGCTATCACACGATGCCCTATTTTTCTACCAGCTATCACACGATGCCCCATATTTCCTTTTTTCTCCCCTTTCTGCCATCCATCGGGCACCAGAACCCTCTGTCCCCTGATTCAGCTATGACTCTCCGAAGCTTCAGGGCGTTGTCATGTTAGGGGAGGGTGGGGACGGACCTGCATTTCTCTCACATTCAGTCACATCCCATTAGACCTCTGTATAGACCCCATGCTGTACTCAGGATCTCTATCATCCCATTAGACCTCTGTATAGACCCCATGCTGTACTCAGGACCTCTCCACATTTTCACTTGCTTGAACTTGCTGTGACTCTACAGTTTTCATGCCCTTCGGGTGAGTTATGCCCTAGGATGCCTCACAGTTTCCCAAAGTGAGCTTTGTCCAACTGAAGTCAAAACAGACACCTCTCTAATGACTGTAGTCTGTACAATGTAGATACTATATTCAGGAAAAATAAACAAAATACAAATTTGTCTATATATGTGTATGTGTGTGTGTATGTGTAAGCCCCAATATGTGGTGTTTTATAGATAATGGGAATATTTTCTTTGAAAATATCAATCTTAAAGAAAGATTTAAAAGTAAGAACAAATAGAAATATCTTTTATGCATATTCATCTATTTTTGAAGTCTGCAACTGCAACAGTGGATTCACCTATTCCTTGCATTTCTATCCATTTTTGCCTCACATGTTTTGATGCTCTGCTGTTAGGCTCCTGCCTGTTAAGCACTGTTACATCTTCGTGGAGAAATGACCCATTTATCGTCACTTAATATTCTTCTTCTTTACTCCTGATAACTTTCCTTGTTCTGAAGTCTGCTCTGCCTAAAGTTCACAGAGTTACTCCTGCTTTCTTTTGATTAGTGCTAGTATAGTGTATCTTTCTCCACCTACTTACTTTTTTTTTTTTTGAGACGGAGTTTCTCTCTTTGTTGCCCAGGCTGGAGTGCAGTGGCGCGATCTTGGCTCACTGCAACCTCCACCTCCCGGGTTCAAGTGATTCTCCTGTCTCAGCCTCCCGAGTAGCTGGAATTACATGCACCCGCCACCACGGCCAGCTAATTTTTCTACTTTTAGTAAAGATGTGGTTTCACCATGTTGGCTAGGCTGGTCTTGAACTCCTGACCTTAGATGATCTGCCCACTTCAGCCTCCCAAAGTGCTGGGATTATAGGCGTGAGTCACTGCACCTGGCCCATCTATTTACTTTTAATCTATATGTCTTTATAGTTAAAGTGAGTTTCTTGTAGACAACATATACTTGGGTCTTATTTTTTGATCCATTCTGATAATCTTTGTCTTTTAATAGTTACATTTAGACCATTGATGTTCAAGGTAATAACAGGTATAGTTGGATTAATATCAACTGTATTTGTAATACTTTCTATTTGTTGACCTTTTTTTTTTTTTTTTTTGGGACAGGGTTTTTCTTTGTTCCCCAGGTGAGTGCAGTGGCGCAATCACAGCTCACTACAGTCTCGACCTCCTGGGCTCAAGTGATCCTCCCACCTCAGCCTCCCAGGTAGTTGGGACTACAGGCACATGCCACCATGCCTGGCCAATTTTTGTATTTTTTTAGAGACAGGGTTTTGCCATGTCGCCCAGGCTGGTCTCAAACTTCTGAGCTCAAGTAATCCACCTGCCTCAGCCTCCCAAAGTGCTGGGATTAGAGGTGTGAGACACCACACTTGGCCTCCCTGGTTCTTTGTTTCTATTTTTGTATTTCACTCTTTTTCTGCCTTTGTGTATTTAATTGAGCATTTTATAGGATTCAATTTCCTCTCATTTCTTAGAGTTTGCAATACACGTTTACAAATAATATAAACCCATTTTGAAACAACACTTACCACTTCAGAATAGTATGAATAGCTTATAATAACAATCCTAAATCCTCCCTCCCATTTCTTGTATCATTGCTGTCACTCATTTCACTTACATATAAGCATACATACATATATATACACACATAAGATAGATACATAAGCATATATAATAAAATACATTATTGCTGTTGTTATTTTGAACAAATTGTAATCTCAGGCCAATCAAAAATAAGGAAAATAAAGAATTTTAATTTACCTTCACTCATTATTTAATCAATGCTCTTCCTTTCTTGCTATAAACTCCAGTTTCTGACTTAAATTATTCATCCTCTCCCTAAAGATTTTCTTTTAACATTTCTTTTCTTTTGAAAATAGAATCATGCTTTGTCATTCAGGATGGAATGCTGTGGCATAATCAACACTCACTGCACCTCAACCTCCTGGGCTCAAGCAATCCTCCCACCTCAGCCTCCCAAGGAGCTAGGACTACAGGCACTTGCTCACTACACCTTCAACCTCCTGGGCTCAAACAGTCCTCCCACCTCAGCCTCCCAAGGAGCTAGGACCACAGGCAGTTGCCACTATGCCTGGCTAATTTTTATTTTTATTCTTTGTAGAGACAGGTGTCTTGGATTTTTGGCCCAGGCTGGTCTCAAATTCCTGGACTCAAGTGAGCCTACTGCCCTCAGCCTCCCAAAGTGCTAGGATTACAGACATGAGCCATCATCAACCACGTTCTTTTAGTATTTCTTGCAACTTACAGAATTTTTTTTTTATCTCTAGCATTTCTTTTTGTTTTTTTCTTAAGATTTTCATTTCTCTGTTTACATTGCTCACCTGTTTTTGCATGCTGTCTGCTTTATGCGTTAGGGCTTTTAGCATATTAATAATAATTGCTTTAAATTCCCTGTTTGATAATCCCACCATTTTTATCATGCCTGGTTCTCATGCTTGCTCTTTCTCTTCAATCTGTATTTGTTTTTTGTTCTTTGCCTTTTAGTATGCCTTGTAATTTTTTTTTTTTTTTTTGAGAGCCAGACATGTATTGGATAAAAGTAGCTGCTGTAATTAGGCCTTTTGTAATGTAGTGGTGAAATGTTGGGAGAGTGTAAATGTTCTACAGTCCTATAATTAGGTCTCAGTCTTTTGGTGAACCTATGCCTTTGGACTGTAACCTTCACAAATGTTTCTGATTTCCCACTCTTAAGTGGGGGCAGGATGGCTAGATGGGCTATAGTTGAGTATTTCTCTGCTCTCATGTGGAAGCTAAAGTTGGCTGCAGTTGTGCATTTTCTCTTTCACAGGTTAGTTAGACTATGTTAAAACCCTGTCAAGTTAGGCTCTATTTCATTCCTCTTCAGGGTAGACCTCATTAAGCAGAATGCAGTGCCATGCATACTTCAAAATGGTTTCTTTTCCCCTCCCCTTGCTAGAAGCATTGGGGGATTTTTCTCCAATATTTAGAATGTGAACCTGGTCAACCTTGAGAGATAAGAATACAAAAGCATGGGGGCTCCCTATAACTGGAACTTCATGGAATTTTTAACTCTCAGACTTGTTCACACTGATCCTCCAACAATTTATCAATTAAAGTTCAGATTTCCTTACCCTGGCACTGGTTCCTGCAGAGAATTTTGCTCCAGTATGGTGTGATTCTCTGTATATGCCTTTTTGTTTTCAATCTGGAGGCAGCAGTTTGACCTAATTTTTCTTATGGCTCTTGGCATACTTGTTGATTTTTCACTTTTTTTTTCAAGTTTATACTTGTTAGAATAAAGTTGTGACTTCCAAGTTCTTTTCATGAGGAACTCAAGATTCATCTATTTTTAACATTTTTATCCATTTCCATTTTCCATTTGGCTGTCCTTTCTCTGTAAATATACCCATGCATATTTCATAAGAATTGGGATATTCTCTGACAGAACTACATTACAGTTACCAACTTCAGGAAATGAGATTAAATCTTTTAATCCAATCGACCATCAGTATTCTAATTCTGTCAAATGACCTATCAATCTTTTTTGTTTTGTTTTGTTTTTGTTTTTGAGACAGAGTCTCACTCCATTGCCCAGGCTGGAGTGCAGTGTTGCAATCCTGGATCGCTGCAACCTCTGCTTCCCTGGTTCGAGGGCTTCTCCTGCCTCAGCCTCCCAAGTAGCTGGGATTACAGGTGTGCACAACTGCACCTGGCTAATTTTTTGTTGTTGTTGTATTTTCAGTAGAGTCAGGGTTTCACCATGTTGGCCAGGCTGATCTCAAACTCCTGACCTCAAATGATCCATCCACCCCTGCCTCCCAAAGCGCTGGGATTACAGGCATGAGCCACCGTGCCCGGCCAAATGACCTATCAATCTTTTTTATAGTACTTTTCTCTTCATTACAGGATTTAGTCTAAAATCAGATGTTTAGTTTTTATGTCTCTTTATTTTCTTTTAATCTAGAATATGCTAGAACACTTCCACAGGATTCTTTGTCTTTTATGATTTTGGCTGCTTAGAATATTCCTTTGGGTTTTTCTGGTGTTTTCTCATAATTAGATTTAATTTATGAATTCCTGACCATATCACATCTGGGGCCACATGACATCCTCATGTTCCTCAATGGCAACATTACTTTCGATCCGTCTGTTAAGATGTCATCCAATTTCTCCACTATATAATTATTATATTTTCCCATGCTACTCATAAGTGGTCCAGGAGAAACACTTTATGACCATGCAAATATCCTATTTTTCATCAAAATATTGCTCTGGATTTAATATCTTTGTGATTTGTGCCTGAACTAATCTTTATTTTGATGGTTATAAAATGATGATTTTCTAGTTCTGTTTCCAGTTTCGATTTCTAGTTTCTAGAAGCCGGACAGGTTCTTCTTTCCTGCTGCACAGATAGAATCGATTTGCCAAGACAGCTGATTTCCAATAGAGAAAGATGTTAATAAACACAGAGCCAGCGAAGCAGAAGACCAGAATTTATTGCTCAAAACAGTCTCTCTGGAAATTTGGAGACTAAGGTTTTTAAGGATAACTTGCTGGGCGGGGGGGTAGGGAAATGGGTAATGCTGATTGGTTGGGTCTAAGATGAAATCATGGAGGCTAAAGCTGTCTTCTCACTGTCTTTAGTTTCTGGGATCACAAAACCAGTTGAGCCAGTTTATTGGTTCAGGTGTGCAACAGCTGGTCCAATCACATGCAGGGTCTGAAAAATACCCTGAACACCAATCTTAGGTTTTACAATCATGATGTTTTCTATAGGAGCAATTGAAGAGGTTACAAATCTTGTGGTCTTTGGCTGAATGGCTCCTGAGCCACAACCCTCAACTTGTGCCAAATTTGTTAGTTTTCTGAAGGAGGCTTTTGGTCCCTGAGTCAGGATGAGATTCCTTTCCAGAAGAAGCTGTTATCATCTTTGTTTTAAAGTTAAGCTAAATTTCCTCCACAATTAGCTTGGCCTATGGCCAAGAATTAACAAGGACAGCTTGGAGGTTAGAAACAAGATGGAGTCAGTTAGGCTGGATTTCTTTCACTGTCATAATTTTTCTATGTCATATTTCTTTTACTGTCATAATTTCTGCAAATGTGGTTTCAGTTTTAGCACTCCCTACACATTTTCTACTTGGGGTGTAACAGTCTATTGTCAGCAAAATAAAAGCTAGGTCTTAAGTCAATGTGAATTATTGGACCTGAATTTGTGTGCATGCCGACACATATACACACCATGCACACACATATGTATATTTTTAAAAAGATAAATGCATATATATCTGCATATTTAATGGATGAGAAGACTTTTCTTCTTTATATCACTTGTGAAGAGCTTTGTTCTCATATGCTGATTTGGAAATCTCAGAATATTTTTTGATCCTAGTATTCAATAATGAGTAATCAATCATGAAACCTCTGTTGAAGTTTATATTCTAAAATCGTCATTTATTTTTAAAAATTCATTTGAAAACATTTAGTTGTGGCTATAAGTTGTTAGTAGAAAAAATTAGAACTGAAACTCACTTGTTACCAGAACTAAAGAAAAAAGGCAAAAAGGATTTTATCTCTGCTTTGCATCCATAAGGGAAATGAACATAACTAATATTCGGTGGAACTTTTATGTAAAAATACAGCTCTTGAATTTGTGAAAGCAAATATAAGCCAACACTCCTTTTTTTTAAAAAAAAAAATTGGTTATTACCTAATTTACGTTGTGTCTACATAAACCAATTTAAAGTCTGATTTTAACATTCAGTGTGGGCCAAGAGAAGGGGAAGAAAAGTACCATTAAGATAAAAAAGGGGAGGGGCCAAGATGGTGGAATAGAAACAGGTCCAGTCTACAGCTCCCAGTGAGACCAATGCAGAAGGTGGGTGATTTCTGCATTTCCAACTGAGGTACCCAGTTCATCTCACTGGGACTGGTTTTGGGTGCAGCCCAGGGAGAGTGAGCAGAAGCAGGGTGGGGCATCATTTCACCCAGGAAGTGCACGGAGCCGGGGGACCTCCCTCCCCCAGCGAGGGGAAGTGATGAGGGACTGTACCCACCCCGGGTACAGCTTTCCCAGTGGATTTTTTGCAATCTGCAAACCAGGAGATTCTGTCGTGAGCCTGCACCACCAGGGCCCTGGATTTCAAGCACAAAACTGGACAGCTGTTTGGGCAAGCACTAAGCTAGCTGCAGGAGTTTTCTTCATACCCCAGTGGTGCCTGGAACCCCAGCAAGACAGAACCATTTACTCTCCTGGAAAGGAGGCTGAAGCCAGGGAGCCAAGTGTTCTTGCTCAGCAGGTCCCACTCCCATGGAGCCCAGCAAGCTAAGAACCACTGGCTTGAAATTCTCACTGCCAGCACAGCAGTCTGGAGTCGACCTGGGATGATGGAGCTTGGTCGGGGGAGGGGCATCTGCCATTACTGAGACTTTAGGAGGCGATTTTCCTCTGACAGTGCTAAGGAGACTGGGAGGTTTGGATTGGGCAGAATTCACCACAGTGCAGTGAAGCAGCTGCGGCCAGACTGCTTCTCCAGATTTCTCCTCACTGGGAAGGCATCTCTGAAGGAAATACAGCAGCCCCAGTCAGAGGCTTACAGATAAAACTCTCATCTTCCTAGGACATAGCACCTGGGGAGAGGGGCAGAGGTGGGCACAGCTTCAGCAGACTTAATCTTTTCTGCCTGCCGGCTCTGAAGAGAGCAGCTGATCCTGACAATGGGGATTCTCCAAGCATAGCACACCAGCTCTGCTAAGGGACAGACTGCCTCTTCAAGTGGGTTCCTGGTCCCCATGCCTCCTAACTGGGAGACACCTCCCAAAAGGGGTCAACAGACACCTCACAGAGGAGAGCTCCAACTGGCCTCAAACCGGTGCCCCTCTGGGACAAAGCTTCCAGAAGAAGGAGCAGGCAGCAATCTTTGCTGTTCAGCAGCCTCCATTGTTGACACCCAGGTGAACAGGGTCTGGAGTAGACCTCCAGCAAACTCCAGCAGACCTGCAGAAGAGGCGACTGACTGTTAGAAGTAAAAACTAACAAACAGAAAGTAACAACAACAACAACATCAACAAAAAAGAACCCACACAAAAACCCCATCCAATGGTCATTAGCCTCAAATATCAAAGGTAGATAAATCCATGAAGATGATGAAAAACCAGTGCAAAAACGCTGAAAATTCCAAAAGCTAGAATGCCTCTTTTCCTCCAAATGATCGCAACTGTTCTCCAGCAAGGGTGCAAAACTGGACAGACAATGAGATTGATGAATTGTTAGCAGTAGGCTTTAGAAGGTGGGTAATAACAAACTCCTCTGAGCTAAAGGAGCATGTTCTAATCCAATGCAAGGAAGCTAAGAACCTTGATAAAAAGTTACAGGAACTACTAACTAGAGTAATCAGTTCATAGAGGAAGATAAATGACCTGATGGAGCTAAAAAGCACAGCACGAGAACTTCGTGAAGCATACACAAGTGTCAGCAGCTGAATCAATCAAGCAGAAGAAAGGATATTAGAGATTGAAGATGACCTTGCTGAAATAAAGTGTGCAGACTAGATTACAGAAAAAAGAATGAAAAGGAACAAACAAAGCCTCCAAGAAATATGGGACTAGGTGAAAAGACCAAGCCTGTGTTTGATTGGATTACCTGAAAGTGATGGGGAGAATGGAGCCAAGTTGAGAAACACACTTCAGGATATTATCCAGGAGAATGTCCCCAGCCTAACAAGACAGGCCAACATTTGATTTCAGGAAATACACACAACACGACTAAGATACTCTATGAGAAGATCAACCTCAAGACACATAATCATCAGATTCTCCAAGGTTGAAATGAAGGAAAAAATTTTAAGCTCAGCCAGAGAGAAAGGTTGGGTCACTTATGAAAGAAAGCCCATCAGACTAACAGTGTATCTCGCTGAAGAAACCCTGTAAGCCAGAAGAGAGTGGGGGCCAATATTCAACATTCTTAAAGGAAAGAATTTTCAACCCAGAATTTCATATCCAGCCAAACTAAGTTTCATAAGTGAAGGAGGAATAAATTCCTTTCCAGACAAGCAAATGCTGAGGGATTTTGTCAACATCAGGCCTGCCTTACAAGAGCTCCCGAAGGAAGCACTAAATATGGAAAGGAAAAACCAGTACCAGACACCACAAAAACACACCAAAATATAAAGACAATGACACTACAAAGAAACTGCATCAACTAATGTGCAAAATAACCAGCTAGCATCATGATTACAGGCCCAAATTCACACATAACAATATTAGCCTTAAATGTAAATGGGCTAAATGCCCCAATTAAGACACTGGCAAATTAGATAAAGCGTCAAGACCCATCGGTGTGTTGTATTCTGGAGACCCATCTAACGTGAAAAGACACACATTGGCTCAAAATAAAGGGATGGAGGAATATTTACCAAGCAAATGGAAAGCAAAAAAAAGCAGGGGTTGCAATCCTGGTCTCTGATAAAACAGACTTTAAACCAACAAAGATGAAAAAAGACAAAGAAGGGTATTACATAATGGTAAAGGGATCAATTAAAGAAGAAGAGCTAACTATCCTAAATACATATGCACCCAATACAGGGGCACCCAGATTCATAAAACAAGTTCTTAGAGATCTATAAAGATATCTTCAAATCTTAGAGATCAACAAGGAGAGCTAACTATCCTAAATATATATGCACCCAATACAGGAGCACTCAGATTTATAAAACAAGTTCTTAGAGATCTACAAAGATACCTACAAATCTTAGAGATCAACAAGAAGAGCTAACTATCCTAAATATATATGCTCCCAAAACAGGAGCACCCAGATTCATAACACAAGTTCTTAGAGATCTATAAAGAGACTTACACTCCCACACAATAATAGTGGGAGACTTTGATACCCCACTGTCAATATTAGACAGATCAACAAGACAGAAAATTAACAAGGATACTCAGGACTTAGACTCAGCTCTGGATCAAGTGGGCCTAATAGACACCTACAGAACTCTGCATCCCAAATCAACAGAATATACATTTTTCTCAGTCCCACATGGCACTTATTCTAAAATTGACCACATAATTGGAAGAAAAACACTCCTTGGCAAACGCAAATGAATGGAAATCATAACGAACAGCCTCTCAGACCACAGTGCAATCAAATTAGAACTCAGGATTAAGAAACTCACTCAAAACCACACAACTACTTGGAAATTGAACAACCTGCTCCTGAATGACTACCGTATAAATAATGAAATTAAGGGAGAAAAAATAAGTTCTTTGAAACCAGTGATAACAAAGAGACAACATATCAGAATCTCTGGGACACAGCTAAAGCAGTGTTAAGAGGGAAATTTATAGCACTAAATGCCCATATCAGAAAGCTGGAAAGATCTCAAGTTAACACCCTAACATCACAATTAAAAGAACTAGAGAAGCAAGAGCCAACAAATGCAAAAGCTAGCAGAAGACAAGAAATAACTAAGATTGGAGCAGAACTGAAGGAGATAGAGACACGAAAAGCCCTTCAAAAATCAGTGAATCCAGGAGCTGGTTTTTTTGGGGGGAAAGAAAAAGATAGACCACCAGCCAGACTAATGAAGATGAAAAGGGAGAGGAATCAAATAGACACAATAAAAAAATGATAAAGAGGCTATCACCACTGATGCCACAGAAATAGAAACTACCATTAGAGAATACTATAAACACCTGTACCCAAATAAATTAGAAAATCTAGAAGAAATGGATAAATTCCTGGACACATACATCCTCCCAAGACTAAACCGGGAAGAAGTCAAATCCCTGAAGAGACCAATAATCAGTTCTGAAATTGAGGGAGTAAATAATAGCCTACCAACCACAAAAAGCCCAGGACAGGACAGATTCACAGCCAAATTCTACCAGAGGTACAAAGAAGAGCTGGTACCATTCCTTCTGAAACTATTACAAACAATAAAAAAAGAGGGACTCCTCCCTAACTCATTTTATGAGGCCAGCATCATCCTGTTACCAAAATCTGGCAGAGACACAACAAGGAAAGAAAACTTCAGGCCAATATCCATGATGAACATCGATGAAAAATCCTCAATAAAATACTGGCAAATTGAATCCAGAAACACATCAAAAAGCTTACCCACCAAGATCAAGTCATCTTCATCCCTGGGAGGCAAGGCTGGTTCAACATATGCAAATCAATTAATGTAATACATCACATAAACAGAAACAATGACAAAAACTACATGATTATCTGAATAGATGCACAAAAGGCCTTCAATAAAATTCAACATCCCTTCATATTAAAAGCTCTCAATAAACTAAGCATTGATGGAACATATCTCAAAATAATAAGAGCTATTTATGACAAATCCACAGCCAATATCATACTGAATGTGCAAAAGCTGGAAGCATTCCCTTTGAAAACTGGCACAAGACAAGGATGCCCTCTCTCACCACTCCTATTCAACATAGTATTGGAAGTTCTGGCTAGGGCAGTCAGACAAGAGAAAGAAATAAAAGATATTCAAATAGGAAGAGAGGAAGTCAAATTGTCTCTGTTTGCAGATGACATAATTGTGTATTTAGAAAACCCCATCGTCTCAGCCCAAAACCTCCTTAAGCTGATAAAGAACTTCAGCAAAGTCTTAGGATACAAAATCGATCTGCAAAAATAACAAGCATTCTTATACGTCAATCATAGACAAACAGAGAGCCAAGTCATGAGTGAATTCCCATTCATAATTGCTACAAAGAAAATAAAATACCTAGGAATATAACTTACAAGGGACATGAAGGACCTCTTCAAGGAGAACTACAGACCACTGCTCAAGGAAATAAGAGAGGACACAGACAAATGGAAGAAAAATTCCATGCTCATGGAGGTTAAGGATCAATATGATGAAAACGGCCATACTGCCCAAAGTAATTTATAGATTCAATGCTATTCCCATCAAGCTACCATTGACTTTCTTCACAGAATTAGAAAAACTACTTGAAATCTCATATGGAACCAAAAAAAGAGCCCATATAGCCAAGAAAATCTTAAGCAAAAAGAACGAAGCTGGAAGCATCATGCTACCTGACTTCAAACTATACTACAAGGCTACAGTAACCAAAATAACATGGTACTGGTACCAAAACAGATATATAGACCAATGGAACAGAACAAAGACCTCAGCAATAACACCACACATCTATCTACAACCATCTGATCTTCAATAAACCCGACAAAAACAAGCAATGGGGAAAGGATTTCCTATTTAATAATAAATGGTGTTGGGAAAACTGGCTAGCCATATGCAGAAAACTGAAACCAGACCCCTTCCTTACACCTTATACAAAAATTAACTCAAGATAGATTAAAGACTTACATGTAAAAGCATAAAAACCCTAGAAGAAAACCTAGGCAATACCATTCAGGACATAGGCATGGGCAAAGTCTTTATGACTAAAACACCAAAAGCAATGGCAACAAAAGCCAAAATTGACAAGTGGGATCTAATTAAACTAAAGAGCTTCTGTGCAGCAAAAGAAACTAGCATCAGAGTGAAAAGGCAACCTACAGAATGGGAGAAAATTTTTGCAGTCTACCCATCTGACAAAAGTCTAATATCCAGAATCTACAAAGACTGAAACAAATTTACAAGAAAAAAACAACACCATCAACAAGTGGGCAAAGGATATGAACAGACACTTCTCAAAAGAAGACACTTATGCGGCCAACAAGCATATGAAAAAAAGCTCAACATTACTGATCATTAGAGAAATGCAAATCAAAACCACAACGAGACACCATCTCACACCAGTCAGAATGGCAATTATTAAAAAGTCCTGAAACAATAGATGCTGGTGAGGCTGTGGAGAAATAGGAATGCCTCTACACTGTTGGTGGGACTGTAAATTAGTTCAACCATTATGGAAGATAGTGTGGTGATTCCTCAAGGATCTAGAAGCAGAAATACCATTTGACCCAGCAACCCCATTACTGGGAATATACCCAAAGGATTATAAATCATCCTACTATAAAGACACATGCACACATATGTTTACTGCAGCATCATTTACAATAGCAAACACTTGGAACCAACCCAAATGCCCATCAATGATAGACTGGATAAAGAAAATGTGGCACATATACATCACGGAATACTATGCAGCCATAAAAAAGGATGAGCTCATGTCCTTTGCAGGGACATGGATGAAGCTGGAAACCATCATTCTCAGCACACTAACACAGGAACAGAAAACCAAACACTGCGTGTTCTCACTCATAAGTGGGACTGAACAATGAGAACACATGGACACAGGGAGGGGAACATCACACACCAGGGCCTCTCAGGGACTGGGGGCAAGGGGAGGGAGAGCATTAGGACAAATACCTAAAGCACGCGGGGCTTAAAACTAGATGACGGGTTGACAGGTGCAGCAAACCACCATGGCACATGCATACCTATGTAACAAACCTGCACATTCTGCACATGTATCCCAGAACTTAAAGCAAATAAATAAATAAATAAATAAATAAATAAATAAATAAATAAAAAATGGGGGAAGAAAAATAGAGGAGAGAGGGAGGTTATCCATCTATGCATCTGTTTTTTCATAACACCAAGTACTTCCATTTCTATGTGCTAAATATATGATATTTATTAAAAATTGAATTGCCATTGTAATGATATTAGGAGGTGGGACCTTTGGGAGGTGATTAGGCCATGGCTCCACCCTCATGGATGGGACTGGTAGAGTCTGGCCCCCTCTTGCCTTCTCTTACCCTCTCCTTGCCCTTCTACTCTTCTGCCATGTGAGGAACAGTGTTCCCCCCCTCTAAAGCATGCAGTGTGCAAAGTGTCATCTTGGAATCAGAATTGCCAAATCTGCTGGCACCTTGGACCTTCCAGCCTCCAGAACCATAAATAATAAATTTCTATTCTTTATAAATTGAAAAAATATAAAAGAAGCATTTCAACTCCTTGGAAATATGCTACCTCCATTGTTTTTGGTTGGTGACATGCAGATTTGCTCTTTTATCTTGTGCTTTTTTTCTCTTCTTTCAGTCATTATATTAAAAAGGAAGGCACTTAGTTCTACTTAACTCTGTTGAATGCTCTGTCCACTAACAGCTGAATGTCTCAACAACTACACAGCATTAGGATCTTGGCGGCTCCCGTGTCAACTTCCAGCGCTCTAAACAGTCCCCTGCCCTGTGCAATGAGCATCATCAAAAAGACCTACCAAGAGAAGCAAAAACAAAGCAAAGCCTTTTCTCTGAATACACTAATTTAATGTATTCATGTGAAAGTGCTTCATATCATACAATTTTAAGGCCAAAGAGAAAGAACGTAGCAAAAAGTTCTTTAAATTTTTTGTGTGTGTATGAATAGTTAGCTAAGAATCCTAGTTGAATCTCTGAGAGTTAGCACACAAATGCACAGACGCTCGTACTCTGAATATGGTTGTATTTTAACAAAAGATAATCACATATTTCTTAAGTAAAAACATGAGTTCAATATCTGAATTCGGCACGATGGGGATGGGAGAACAGAGGCAAATGAATGTGGTTAATTATGCCAGTTACCCTGAATGGATACTGCAGTCACTTTCCTGGCAGCAGTAGGCAGCAGGGAAGTGTTAGAGCTGCTGAGTCCCCGCAGCAGCTGGAGAAGCTGGAAAAGCGAGAGGTGCTAAAGATGTTTCTGGACTGGAAGAGGGCGGATTCCGTACTTTCTAACTGCACCCTGTTTTCACACTGGTGAAGACGACTCTGTCCTCAGCACTCAGCAGTACACTGTGTGGTCCAGAGGCTGCCATTCACAGTTGTTGGGAAGACGTAAAAGCATGCAGTGAGGCCTCCCAATACAGTATCGTGTGTTGTTCTCTTAAGCCTTTCCACTTCCAGGTAACCTACTTTCTCTTTGCAGAGGTTGCTGAAGTCAAAAGCAGCTCACTCCCAGTTCACTGAGCTTGAGTTCCGGCTGCAACTTGGCCTTGAGATTTTTGAAACGTTGATATGGAAGATAAAGAAAAACGCAGATTCCTGTCTTCTAAGGAACAAAGGCTGGAAGACAGTTCTGCAGATTCTGCCTTTGAGGGATTAGAGGGATGTGCCCAGGACCAGATCTTCAGTTATGCAAATATACCTTAGAGACCACAGTAAGAAAGACATCGCTCTGAAATGCTCTGGTCCCAAGGAAAATATTGCTCTATATAATAATGGAAAACGTTGTCTGTGTATCATGCTGAGCTGCATTTTATTTTGTACCCTTGAGAGAGCTTTTATTTTCTTATAAATAAGGATTGGTCTTGTTCTGGGTCTGAAAACTGTTGTGTATTTTTGAGATGTCTATTTTTCTTTTCAGTTGCCTGTAAGAGATTGGGAGCCGAGGGCCTGAGGGTGAAGCCTCGTTTGTGCAGGTGACTGTGGGACTCTGGTGTAAGTAACGCTGGGCCCACCCTGGTAATGAAGGAAGACCCAGGCCCAGGCAGGGGCGGTGTCACAGGCACAGGGGCTCGCACCCTGGGCACTGACGGTGGCTGTCGCACCAGGGCCGCTCCTTGCAGAAACCTCACTGAGCCTGTGCCTGTTGAGTAGCTTCATGAGGAGCGGATATCAGGCAGAGAAAGCCCGGGCAAGAGAGTGACACACGGGGCTTCTGCCCAGAACACGTGCGCCCACAATCCCGGGAGCTGTACAAATCCCAAGCGGGGAAGCGGAGGCCTCGACAGTTCATGATGCGGACATGAATGGGAATGCGGCCGCTTGCCACACCTCCTTCTTCATTTGGGGAAATGCTTGAAGGTTTGTTTTGTGAATGCTAGGTTAAGGTTTGGAAGTTTATTTTAAAAATTGACATCATGGCCGGGCGCGGTGGCTCACGCCTGTGATCCCAGCACTTTGGGAGGCCGAGGCGGGCGGATCACGAGGTCAGGAGATCGAGACCATCCTGGCTAACACGGTGAAACCCCGTCTCTACTAAAAATACAAAAAATTAGCCGGGCGTGGTGGCGGGCGCCTGTAGTCCCAGCTACTCGGGAGGCTGAGGCGGGAGAATGGCGGGAACCCGGGAGGCGGAGCTTGCAGGGAGCCAAGATGGCGCCACCGCACTCCAGCCTGGGCGACAGCGAGACTCCGTCTCAAAAAAAAAAAAAAAGAAAATTGACCTCAGGCAGGGTGTAGTGGCGCACGCCTGTAATCGCAGCACTTTAGAGGCTAAGGAGAGAGCCCAGAAGCTCGAGACCAGCCTGGGCAACATAGTGAGACCCCCATCTCTAAAAATAATTTTTTAAAAATTAATCGGGCATGGCGGTAGAGGCCTGTAGTTCCAGCTACCTCAGAGGCTGAGGCGGGAGAATCACTTGAGACTAGGAGGTTGAGCCTGCTGTGAGCCGGATGGTGCTACTGCACTCCAGCCTGGGTGGCAGAATGGACCCTGATTAAAAAACAAACAAACAAAAAAGATGTATCAACATTAGCCACTCAGACATTGTTTTAAAATAGTTTAATCTTCTATTTGAGTTACAACCTGAGGTAACTCCCAATGAAGGAGATAAATTATATAGAAATTAAAGAATTTAGGGGAAGACTCTGTAAAAATGTGAAAGAATGGAAATCAGGGTGCTTCGGTGGGGGAACGGTCCATGTGACAAATGGAATGCCTGGAACCGGGAGGGCGCTGGGTGAGGACAGAGCTGCACTAAGTATAAATCCATTTATAATCTGTGGTCTGAGACCAGTGAGAAATTTACATCCTCCATTAGGTTTTGAGAAAGGCTCACAGATTTTCCCTAAAAACAAATGTAATAAAAAGATAAGAAGTCACCAATCCCCTGTAAACCTTGTCATGTTTCAAGTGAAAACGTAGCCCAAAGTCAGAGGCATGGACATTGTCCCCAGAGAGATGGCCCAGGCAGGGGGCACGTGGGTGCTGACGCTTATGGCAGTTGAGGGGATCTGGATGGGCTATTGGAAAGAGATTGCCTTGCTGTAGCAAATCCCTGCCAGCCATAATTTAAAGGGACAGAAGTCATTAGTCTGCAATGTCGCTGTCTTTGTACCAATAAAACTTGTATTTGCCTTTCTTTGCAAGCCTCATTGCTCTGTAACTCAATGTCAGCAGTGAGTGAGACCTGTCTCAGAAACAGTGACAACTGCAAATTTCAGCAGCATTAATGTTATACACGTGCATCTGGTCTTCTGAAGGTTAAGTAAGTTGGGCTGTTTTCCAAGCTGCACCTTTATTCTCAGTTCTGCCAGGGAAGGAAAAAATACTGCTGATCTTCTATGGTCCAGAAAGTTTGTACCATTTGTTTTCTAATAAAAGCAACAATAAACTTAACTCAAAAGGGAAATTGAAGTTCTAGCCTCTTGTTTAACTGAATCAATTGTTTGAAATTTAATCACAAAGCAATTGGGCAAGTTTTTCTCTGATTTGTTTGGACGTAATCTAGCAATCTGCTGCTAAATCCTTGTTCTTTGGAAAAGAGGTAAATTCGGCTTGGAGCACCCTCCTTACAGCCTGCGTGCGTCTAAAGCTCTCGTCATAATTTATGTGAATTACCACACATTTACGTTTTCATGGACCATTTTGCCTGACCACTTTGTTCTTTATTAGTAGTAATATACAGGATCTAGCAATCACTTTTTAATATCTGAATATTTGCATAAAATCTCACTCTCGCCTCCTGTGGCTCATGAAAATGTTTCACACAAACCTTAACAGGGCTCTTCCTAAGATGTCCTGAGACGCCGTCTAGGGAAATAAACAATTCTCACCTTGTTATTTATAGAATATGTCATATTAACTCAGTACTTAATCCTCTACAATTCTTTCTGTGCATGCAACGGAACCTAATCATCACGACTATGCTGTGAGGGAGGAATGGCCCCTTTATTGTACAGCTGAGGTGAATAAGGTTTAAGCCACACGCAGTTGAAGTCACTGCTTACAAATGCGTATCTAGTGGGGAAATTGGGGCTTGATGCCATTCGTTTGCCCTCCACGTTTTATGCTCTTTTTTCTGCATGACTCTGCCTCTCATGTTATTATGGGTCTCACCCCTGCAGTATGTGGATAATTTGACTGTTTCAAGTGTGATGACTCTGCCTCTCATGTTATTATGGGTCTCACCCCTGCAGTATGTGGATAATTTGACTGTTTCAAGTGTGATGACTCTGCCTCTCATGTTATTATGGGTCTCACCCCTGCAGTATGTGGATAATCTGGCTATTTCAAGTGTGGTTCCTTAACTGTGACTGTAACTCCATTTCAGCTCCTATTAAGAGGTGAAAAATACTTCCCTGTCTCTTAACTTGGATGGAGCTTGTGATTTCCTGTAATCAAATAATCTGTAATATTGCATGCCTTCTAAGCCCTGGACTCAGGATGCCTGTGGCTTCCAATATTATTTTCTTGGAATGTTTCTGACACTGTGTGAAGAAGCCTAGAATGAAGACCACATGGAGAGAGACACCTAGCTGTCTCAGTCATTTCAGCCTTGAAACTTAGGCTCAGAAATATGAGAGCCGCCCACTCAGACCTTCACTTCCAGCCGTGCTGCCTGCAGCCTGTCCCACTGCAGTCAGCCCAGGGCAGGTGAGCAGAACAAATGCCCTGTTTACCTACAGAGTTAGCAGAAATAAAACATGGTGGTTTTGGTGCAGTTTGTTACACAGCAGTAAATAACTGATGCAGCAAGCATTATTAGAAATCACTGCACGAATGCATAGGCATGTTTAAAATTCATTACGTTAAGAGCAAAAAAAAGTATCTCATCATGATGCAAAGGAAAGTAACAGTAGGAAGGGTTATTTCCTAGGTCCAAGTGTTATTATTTTTATTTCCTGAATTCACTATGAGGCATATTGTGGGTCAAAGTTTTAATAAGATTAAAAACAATATAGTAGGCTGGATGTGGTGGCTCACACCTGTAATGCCAGCACTTTGGGAAGCTGAGGTAGGCAGATTGCTTGAGCCCAGGAGTTGAAGACTAGCCTGGTCAACATGGAGAAACACCATCCCTACAAAAAATACAAAAATTAGCCTGGTGTGGTGGTGTGCACCTGTAGTCCAGCTACTCTGGAAGTTGAGGCTGGAGATGGCTTGAACCCAGGAAGTCGAGGCTGCAGTCAGATGAGATAGCTCCACTGCACTCCATCCTGGGTTACAGAGTGAGACCCTGTCTCCAATAATGATAATAATAATGATAATAATAATATATTAGTCCATTATTAAAAATCATAAGGGCCAGGTGCAGTGGCTCACACCTGTAATCCCATCACTTTGGGAGGCCGAGGAAGTCGGATCACCTGAGGTCAGGAGTTCAAGACCAGCCTGGCCAACATGGAAAAACCCATCTCTACTAAAAATACAAAAATTAGCCAGTGGTGGCGGGCACCTGTAATCCCAGCTACTCCGGAGGCTGAGGCAGGAGAATGGCTTGAACACGGGAGGTGGAAGTTGCAGTGAGCTGAGATCGTGCCACTGCACTCCAGCCTGAGCAACAAGAGTGAAACACCGTCTCAAAAAAAAACCAAAAACAAATTATAAACAAGTTTGGACAGAAATAGGGTTTCAGCTGCATTATAAGAATTTGCTGAGTCTTATAAAATGTTTTTTATTAATTTTTATTAGAACTTATAATAGCCATTCTATTGGATTGAACAGCACACATTTTTTAAAAATATATTAAAAATAATAAAGCAGTTGGAAAGTGAAGCAAGTTGTTTTCCAGCAAGCCCCAGCTTTGTGCTTTCAGAATGAGCTTGAGGTCAGTCAGACTTGGGTTCAAATCATGGCTCAGCCGCTCACTGGCTTTTTGATGTTTGGCAAATTGCTTAACCTCTCTGAGGCTTGATTCCCTCAAGTGTAAATTCCTTAGCATAGCTCCAAATTAATGATGAGATTCATTTGTATTTAATGTTTCCCTTATTTTAGAACATCCCATGCCTATGTTTCAAAAATAAAATAGTGCTTGGCCGGGCGCGGTGGCTCACGCCTGTAGTCCCAGCACTTTGGGAGGCCGAGGCGGGCAGATCACGAGGTCAGGAGATCGAGACCATCCTAGCTGACACGGTGAAACTCTGTCTCTACCAAAAATACAAAAAATTAGCCAGGCGTGGTGGCGGGTGCCTGTAGTCCCATCTGCTCGGGAGGCTGATGCAGGAGAATGGCGTGAACCTGGGAGTCTGAGCTTGCAGTGAGTGGAGATCGCGCCGCTGCACTCCAGCCTGGGTGACAGAGCGCGACTCCGTCTCAAAAAATAACAGTAATAAATAAAATTAAAAAATAAAATCGTGCCAGAACCCAATTTGGTGGCTACAATGACAATACAGAAAATATATCCTCCCTGGTATGCACAAGTTTCCATTAATTCTCTTGGTTTTTCAAAGTAAACAACAATATTGTCTTCAAATAATATTAACTTTACTTCCTTTTTTCCAATTGTCATCATCATTATTTTCTACTCTGTTACTGCCTTATGACCTTGCTTATATGACTCAGGTCTTTTAATATGTGTTACAATTATGAAAAGAGCTTAGTACCTTGAATATCTAGGAAAAAATAATCTGAATTTTAAAAATCGAATCAGGGATAATGGCAATATTTCAGAAGTAGTGAGATGAGATGTGATGACGGCAAGAACTAGGAAGATATCTTAGGATATCAAAAGGCATGTTTTAGAAAAAAAGCAGGCAGGTTCCAAATGGCTGTCTAATATACCCTGGCTATGGCTTTGTGGATTCAGTGGTGACCCAGTGCAGATCACAGGCCAGGGCAGAGAGGACTACCTCTAGCCCAGCTGAGCACTTTGCAAAAATCTCAGAGAATGAAGGTTCTAAAGACAGATATTCTCATTCGCTAGCCTGGGTTTGGGATGAAATCTGTATTTTCAAAAGTGTCCCAGATAATTCTTTGTATAGCCAAGCTGGAAACCAATGGTCTAATTGGCCATGTCCAACGAACGAATAGACAATCTTTTTAATAGATATTAAAATGTATTATACCCTAAGTAAAAAAGAAACCCATTTATAATTCTCCATTTAAAAGAAAGAGTTCCAATAATATAGATTAAAAAAAGTGTCACATGGTTTTAAACACACACACACACACACATATATATATATATATATATATATATATATATTTTTGAGATGGAGTCTTGCTCTGTCACCCAGGCTGGAGTGCAGTGGTGTGACCTCAGCTCACTGCAACCTCCACCTCCTGAGTTCAAGCTATTATCCTGACTTAGCCTCCTGAGTAGCTGGTATTACAGGTGCGCACCACCACGTCCAGCTAATTTTTGTATTTTTAGTAAAGACAGGGTTCCACCATGTTGGTCAGGTTGGTCTCTAACTCATGACCACATGATCCACCCACCTCGGCCTCCCAAAGTGCTGGGATTACAGGTGTCAGCCACCACGCCTGGCCCGCATGGTTATATTTTTATATTCTTCTCTAGTTTGAAACAATGTACCTTGTGCAAAATATCTTCTGTTGATTATTATTTGTAAGCTGCATTTTAAGTTTACAAAGTAACTCTACATGCGTTCTTTCCTGCGGCCTTCACAGCAGCTCTTAGACAGTGGGAGTAGCAATGCCTCACACCTGCCTAGTCTTATGCATCTTGTAATGCACCCTTACTTCCTTTCTCCATATAAAACTTACATGTGGCATTCATTCTCTCAGAACTGAAATATCCACTGCTTGGAGTTCTCAAAATATATGGTGTTGAATTCCACTTTTGTGCTTTTTCGTATGTCGGCCCCTCTGCTGAGAATTTCATTCCTGGACTTTTATGCGAATTTTATTCACATAAACGAAGGTCTCTGCTCTGTTTGCGTTCCTGGTTGGATTGATCAGCAGGACAGGCAGGGAGCCAAGCCCTCAACACTGCTATGGCCTCCCACATCTCTGAGGTACATCGATAGTTCCCAAGTGCAGAGACAATCCTCACTGCCCTTCCCTGCCCTCTTAGGGGATTTGTTTTTTGCACAGAACATATAACAAAGGAAAGAACCCAGCTTCGACTTTGCATAGAATTCCGTTTTCAAAGCTCTGTTGTCCATTTTCCTCTGCATCAGCAATCCTCACACCTGTTTTCTTAACCTCATCATAACCTCAACATACACAAAAGATGGCCTTAGCACAGGGGCGAACCTCTTCCGAATTTCCTAGGTTTGGGCATGATCCTCTCGCTGCTTCCTCAGACTCTTCCCTTTCCTCTTCCTCTACCCTCCCCCCACCACCCAAAATGTTGTAATGCTAGTGACTGTGAATTACTTCATAGTCATTTTCATACCTTTGCATGTCTGTAATTAATAATTAAAAAATAAAGTGTTTGCAAATTTTAGCACTTTAAATAGTATTAGTGACAAATGGCTGGTCACGTCATTATTGCGTGTCACGAGTCAGGACCCCCCAGGGTGGAATGCCAGCCTCCTGCCCTCTGCCACCCTTTGCTGCAGATGAGGCAAGCCTGCTCACTCCGCAGGCTTCCGCTGGGGCTATCGGCTCAGTGGCTGTGGAGCATGTCTGTCACGCGTGCTGTACAGTTAGGCCAACGATTAGTGATGAAGGTGACAAATAGACACTTTTTGCCGTGCACTGAGGGGGTCACTGTTAGTACCACCTAGACAGGAATGTCTAAAGATGCTGTCAATGCAACCAGCAAATGTCGAATATATTTTTCTCGAAGACAAAACAGTCTAATCTCATGTAAGAAGAGTCCATTCATTCGCCTTGTTAACATGTCTTAGTCCTATACTAGAGAAAGCATAACCTGATGTCATTAATTGAAGGATGAGACTCTGTGGTTATCGTGATAATAAGTATATGTCTGGTCTCTGCCCCTGGTTCCTGGCACATGGCTCTTAAAACCCTTGGAATCTCCAGAGACACAACAGTGTCCTTTGTATGCTAACGAGATGACTGGTGGTTAAGGATCCCTAACTAACATCAAGATGGGGCACAGTCACCAGAAAGACCAAGGACTGATTAGTGGTCGGGATTTTCAGCCCCGCCCCCAACCTCCAGGTGAGAAAGAGGGCTGAAAGTTGACTTGGTCACCAGTGGGCAATGATACAATCAATCATGCCTATGTAATGAAGTCTCCATAAAACCCCAGAGGACTGAGTTCAGAGAGCTTCTGAACAGCTGCACGCAGGGAAGCGTCTGAAGGGTGCTGTACTCAGAGAGAACACAGAAGCTCCACACCTCCTCCCGAGTACCTTGCCTATGCATTTTCCCATCACACTGTTCTGCAGACTTTGTAATATCCTTTGCAATAAACTGGTAAACATCAGTAATGTGTTTCCCCGAATTCTGTGAGCTGTCCTAGCAAATTAATCGAACCAAAGAGGGGATTGTGGAGACCCCAATTTACAGCCACTCAGTCAGAAGCACAGATCACAACCAGGCGCTTACAACTGTCATTTGAAGTGGGAGACAGTCTTGGGGACTGAGCCCTCCACCTGTGGGATCTGAGGCTACTTTCAGGTAAATAGTGTCAGCATTGAGTTACATTGTAGGACACCCTGCCGATGTCTGCTGGAGAATTAACTGATTGGTTGTTAATGGGGAAAAATTCATACATTCCTTTTGGTGACCAGACATGAAGTATTCAGTGTTGCAGGTTGAGCGTAAGTATAGAAAAAATAGTTTGGTTTTCTCTTATAACTCTACAGAGACTCCTTCTGTCTGTCTAAATTTCTGGGGGTAATTACACTAATTGTAAACAGCTTTGTCTGCTCCATCTGGAAGAAAGTGCTACTAGCCATAAACTATTCCCACTAGAGAGTGATGATGTGTATGGGGGGCATATGGATTGGGGAGTGGAGAGGGGAGTCTGCACCCTCAGCCCTACTAGCAATGCAACATTTGGGGAAAGTAGCGGGAAGGGAACATTCTGATGCCATGACAGATATCTTTTCACACAGATTTATTGTACTAGTTTTCAAGGTAAACTGTTTTAGTAGCTAAACAGAATTTCTTTAAACATGTGGGTACCAATTTGCTCCTCGCGCAGTGCATGTGATAGTGAGATAAAAACCAATCACACAGCATGGCTGGAGCACAGAAAAACAACATTTTACTTTCTTTTTTGAGAATAAATGGCTTTGTTAACACAGCCAAAACAATTGATCTTTTTATTTGTATTTTATTCCTGGTCAATATTTTAAGGGCTGACTGGAGACTTGAGGCCCTGTTGGGTGGAATTAAAGTTTACAACAGCCCACGTTTTCCATAGATTATGAAGGAGCCAAGCAAACATGGTCTCTATTAGAAACTCAACAACCTCAGCCCCTAGATTAAAAGAAAAATCACTCAAAAGCAGACACACAAAATACAGGAAGAAGGAATACTGTCTAGATGTGAGACTGATTTTTCTAAGTCTCTCTAAATTTCTAAGTCTGTCTACAAATGTGCTGATTTGTAGCTTGCTCAATTATATGTATCATGAAATTCTCTACTCTACGTTCTCTTCTTCTTTATACAACTGTAGAACAGTCTTTGTCATTCCTGTTTTCCAAACCCCTCACCATCCAACACTCCCTTCAACTCCATGTATTCAGAAAAAATATTCCTGAAGAGTAAAAGGCAATAAAATTCCCAACCATTCCACATTACTTCTTTATTCAGTTTTGCCTTTCAGTGAAGTATGATGTGGGACAGCAAACAAAATAAATGAGCGTAGATGAGAAAGGCAGTCACTTTTCTCAACTCCGGCAGGCTCTCCTTTTGACAGGCATTTTCTGGCTGTTTCAGAAGTTGTCATGCCTGGTAGTTGTGGCCCAGACATTGAACTGTCCAGAGAAGTTCTCGTGCTGTCCAAGCAAAATGCTTGCATCCTAATTCCAGAATGCACAACACAACATTTGTACTAAAAGGGAGAGTCTTCCTGTTCGATGATGGTTTCATAAAAATCAGGTGGCACTCCTATTTTGTTGGATGTAATTTAAAAAGGTCATTCCGTGGCTGGGCACCGTAGCTCATGCCTGTAATCCCAGCACTTTGGGAGGCAGAGGCAGGTGGATCAAGGGGTCAGGAGTTCGAAACCAGCCTGGGCAATATGGTGAAACCCAATCTTTCATAAAAATACAAAAATTAGCTGCGCATGGTGGCGTGCTCCTGTAGTTCCAGCTACTTGGGAGGCTGAGGCAGGAGAATTGCTTGAACCTGGGAGATGGAGGTTGCAGCGAGCAGAGATCTCGCCACTGTACTCCAGCCTGGGTGACAGAGCCAGACTCCGTCTCAAGAAAAAGATCATTCCTTCATATATATATGTTCATCAAGATAGTAGACAAATTAATACAGAAAAAGAGATTCTTATTTCATCCATGAAGATGCATGGATACCTGTTCTTCTCACAGATACACATATCCTATTTGTTATATCTGAACAAAGTCTTGAATATTAAAACAAAAAGTGGATGAATAAACTCTCGTAACATACCTGCAACTTTAGAAACGTACACATGATTTAGCCCTTAGTGGCTCTACACTTTCATCCAGCTCGCAGAGACTCAGTGTTTTTCAGAAGGATCTTATGTGACTAGAAATTTAAGGTAGTGAATCAAACATTTGCCTTACTGTAGCTTAATATTTTAATACCTCTAGTACATTAAAAATAGCATACACATTCAAATTTCATTATATATATTAAAATTAAATTTACTTTGGGAATTTTATGATATCTTCAAATCACTGAAGTTAAAACAATGGGGTTCAAACTTATTTTTCTATTATTTATAAAATAATTTTAATTCATCTCATCTCTTAAACATAAGACATGATAATTTATGTACAAAAATGTTTAATGCAGTGTTATTCATAGTGTTAAAAACTGGAAACAATGTAAATGTGTAATTACACAAGTATAATTGTGAAAAAACATTATTAATTTTTTCGGTAAGAAAAGATAAAAATTACCTATAGTCAATGATAACACTTTTGATGGTCATTCTTTTCTATGAATCTGTTTTTTAATTTGATTTTTGAAAAAATATTCACAAAAATAACTTTTAGACGAATAACATATACATAATTTGCTCCATGTACATTTATCATCGTAAACAGCTTTATTCTTTTTTTCCTTGTTCAAATTCACACATCCAGGAAGGGGTAGAACCAGATCACATATTTAGAGCAATCTTAATCTAAAGCTAGGTTCTTTCTATTGACTCGGGGACCCTGGGGCTGCGTGACTCTCATAAGTCAGATCAGGTACAGAACCAGCTCTACATACCACAACGCCCTCAGAGAGTTTTCAGCAAGTCCCTCCTGCAAGCAGCTTTATTTTAAACAAATAAATAAATAGCTCGCTGAAAGGCAAAACTGAATAAAGAAGAAACTTGGAATGGTTAGGATTTGTATTCTCTTTTACTCTTCAAGAATATATATATATGTTCTTTACATTTACTGTCTTTTAACTTTCTCCCTTCAGGCACTGAATTTACCAGGCAGCCAGGATTACCAACTTAGTATGATTCACTACAGCTTTCTCCATTCCAGTACAGCTATATACAAAATAGAGACACCCATACACATTTCCTGTTGCCGTTTGCCTTTTAGAAGGGTTCATACATTTTATGCTGACCTTTCATTAGAAGGGATCATACGTTTTATGCTGACTCCTCGGCTTTTGCTCTTCTCACTTGCCAGTGCATCAGGGAGGCTTCTTTGTCAGCGAGTGAAATTCTAACATTCTTTTTTAGTGACTGTGTATATAATATTTCATGATGTGTATACATCTCAACTATTTCCCCACTAAAGGGGGTTTCCATTGTTTCTGATTGTTTTAACACTATAAATAATGCTGCATTAAACACTATTGTATAAAAATCTTTAAAACATAAGACTTAATTTCTATGTCATTCATCCCAAGAAGTGAAGATGTTAAGTCAATGATGTATGTCCTGGCCAGGCGCGGTGGCTCACACCTGCAACCCCAGGACTTTCGGAGGCTGAGGCTAGTGGATCACCTGAGGTCAGGAGTTCGAGACCAGCCTAACACGGTGAAATCCCGTCTCTATTAAAAATACAAAAATTAGCCGGGCATAGTGATGGGCGCCTGTAATCCCAGCTACTCAGGAGGCTGAGGCAGGAGAAGTGCTTGAACCTGGGAGGCGGAGGTTGCAGTGAGCCAAGATCGAACGATTGTACTCCAGCTGGGCAACAGAGCTAGACTCCATCAAAAAGATGTATGTTCTGTAAACTATAATAGACATTGCCTAATTACATTGCAAAATAGCTGGTACAATGTACACGCCTCAGAAAAAACAATGCCTTTTCAGTAAAAGTAGATGATATATTTCTATTTAATGTTGGCTAATCAAACAAGTGAGGATAATAATAATGACTACATTTGAGTATCCTTTCTAACTTTACGACAATTGGAATTTTCTATTTTGTCAATTCTTATTGTCATTTACTTATAGAATTCTGGCTTTGAGTTACATTTTGTAAGATTGCCCTCCATTTTAATATGAAATATTTTGAGAAAAATATTTTACTCCTGTATATTCTATATTTCAGAATGTAAAATTGATACATTCAATGAAAGCATTCGCTAGGATTTAAAAATTGTCATTTTTAAATCTGAAAATCCTGCATTGTTCTTGGAAACTGAATTTCATCAGTGAGCAATTGGAAAACCTTATGAATGGCAAGTTATTAGTAATGTGAATGACCTTATGGAAACCACAATTCAAGACATTGTGGAAATGAATTTGGATTGTCCAAAAATGAGACCTAGAACTGGAATAGGAGTACAAGTTTCTGAATGGTTTGTCCTCCTATATTCATAACTACAACAAGGATTAAATATTTTTTTCCCAAATTGCAAGTCTGGAAACATTTTTCATGATTTTTTAAAAAAGAAAACCTAACTTTTTTTTTTTTCTTCTCCCAACAAGCTGAAGCTTGTTGCTTGACTGAATTCTTGGAGATAAAGAATGTGCCCTGGTACACTGAAGGGGAAAATCAGATCACTTGCAGCTGACATTACTGCCAAACGTCAGTGAGGAGGCCACAGTCAGCTGGGAGAATTTTACCCTTTAAACATCGTCCATGTCGTACTTGTGGAGCCACTGGCTTGTATAAAGATAGTTATTGAGAACATTTCATAGCAGGGATGTGGGGAAACCATGCATGTCAGAAATCGTTTTTATTCCAAGATGTGCTTCAGCTCTCCTTCTCCTTCTCAAAGCTCGATTCTTTAAAGAGATTAAAGTTCAGTGGTACGAGGCCGTATAAAGACATCTGAATAATTCCACGATATCTAGACATTTCTGAAGAAATACACTCTTTTTTAAAAAGTAGCAGTTATTTATCACAATTTTCTAATTTATGATCCCGGATTCACGACTGGTTAGGGTAGTAAATATTTATGGGAAGAGATGCCCCTGGAATCCACTTGGGGAAAAGAGAAAGAAAGTCACTTCCCCTTTGAAGGCAGCTTTACTCTTCCAGCATCTCGCCACTGTTTCAGCGTTCCTACAGCTGTTTCTGCTTTGGACAAATATTATGTTTTTCTGAAGAAACACCTTATTTAATGATTTAATGTTGTAACAGTATTTAGAGCCTAGTAGGTTCTCAATAAATATTTATTGAACGAATAAACAGACTGTCACATCATTTTATTAAATGAGTTAAAAAGGGCCAACCAAATTCATTTCTTAGGTATTAGACATTAAACACCAAATTGTGTATAGAACAGGATGCTGGGAGATGAAAGCTGTGCCAGGCCTTGTAGCCTCACCGAAACCATTTGAAAAATGACTACCACTTTTCAGCCCAGCATTTTTTGCTATTTTGGATTTTCTTAGTTCATAGCACCTGTCTTCATGTCACACAACTGGAAATGCGTGATCCTTTAGTCTCTGGATTTTTTTCTTAACTAATACATTTTAGATATTACATCAGCTATATTTAGCATATCCTTTTCATTTATTTGTATTTTCCTCATATTATAGGCCAGTTTTTACAGTCGAATATCCCAGATTTCACATTCTTATAAAGTTGCATAATTCCCCTAATTTTAAAATATTTATTCAATTGGCTGGGTGCGGTGGCTCACGCCTATAATCCCAGCACTTTGGGAGGCCGAGGAGGGCGGATCACGAGGTCAGGAGATTGAGACCATCCTGGCTAACACGGTGGAACCTCGTCTCTACTAAAAATACAAAAAAATTAGCCGGGCGTGGTGGTGGGCGCCTGTAGTCCCAGCTACTCGGGAGGCTGAGGCAGGAGAATGGTGTGAACCCGGGAGGTGGAGCTTGCAGTCAGCCAAGATCACGCCTCTGCACTCCAGCCTGGGTGACAGAACGAGACTCCATCTCAAAAAAAAAAAAAAAAAAAAAGAAATATATATATATATATATGTATTCAATTAATATTTTTGGTTGCATGGTATGTCTTAGATACTGAGGACGTAGAAATATTTTCTTATATGTAAAGAGTATTTACATGATTAATCTCTTCTTAAACTGCCACTTTGTATATTGTGTATTTTTAATTTTCATATTGAAACACTTATAAAAATTTTTCATAGGATTTCTTATTAAAAGTATCATAGACCTCAGCATATCTTAGTAAGACCCTTGTAAAAACAATGAGACAATTTGTTATCTTTTAAAAGTAAATCAGCAGCAGAATAATACTAAATTAATAAAATAAGTGTTATAAATTTTGTGATGCTAATATTTTCAAAATCAATCATATTTAAGAATGCAATATTCAAAACCTGCCATGGAGTGCAATTTCAGGGATGCAGCTTGGTTATTTTAGGTTTAGTTTTTGTATCTTAGCCATTTTTGGAAAGCTACAGAAGTCGTTGTAAAAAACCACATCTATTGGTTGTTATTTCTACATCTTCAATTTCCCATAGGAATCTTATAATCTAGTTATAAACCGTAATCTTTCCTATTCATCTAGTCCTTGAAGACTCAAAGGCAGTCAATTTCAAGCAATTTATAGCTAGGTTTTATTGCACGACTGGCAGCTCAGGATGCCTCCCAGAGGCACGTGAAACTGACCAAAGAAAGTCTCCATGAGCCAAGGTGGAAGGTGGTTTGAATTCATCTACTTAACTTCCCATTTCGTAAGTAAGATTTCCGTAGAGCCCAGTTCATAAAGAGAGCTTTGTGACTGAAACAACCAAAATTACATCAAATCAGTTATGCTTGGAACCCTGCTCACTTGCAGAAAGGCAACACAAGAGCTCTGTGCAGAAATTGCCATATTACATGATACAGTTTGCACTTTATTCATTCACACTAACTTATAGTCTATGAAGATTTAAAATATGAGGGTTTAAAGTGATTTCTAAGATGATATAAAAACGAAGTATTTATGTTTAATAAATTTCCTCTCTAGGACTTTTGAAAAACACATATCATGAACTAATTTCCGACCAAACACTTTATAATAAAAAAATGAAATTGCCTTGGCAAAGAAGAAAAATTGTTTTCTTATGAAATGACACGTTTGCTTTTATACGGCACTTCAGTTAGATGTAATGATTTTAATCTGAGAGCTGCAGGTACATATTTTTCTGTCTTTCTATCTACCTATCTACCTGATTTTGTTTACACATTTTAGAATTATTTGCTCAAGAAAATGTTAAAGAGAAGTGACAAACTCTAATTTAAAATATAAACACCTCAAGAGATTTGCTAAAATAGACTCAAAATGCATTATGTTAGGAAATATTTCCACAGAGAACTAATGATAAGTGGACAAGTAAAGGTAAACAGCTTAAACATTTTTGTTGGTTTTACTTTTTGGCATGATGGTGTTAAATAAAAGTCTCAGTATTTTTAGAAAATGCTTTAAGCAGTACATTCTATTTTTAAACTATATGTCTCTATTTTAAGTCATAGTACGTGATATGGAGAGATCAGGTTTTATGTTGCAAGTGTATTTTAAACAACACATTCTTAGTCACACATACATTTTAATACACATTAAATTTAAGCTGTCTTACTGAATTTTGAAATAATTTAGTGCGGCTAAGGATGCGTTTTGTTTTAAGCATATTCACAACATAAAATATGATTTCTGAAACTCGAATAAGAGAATATTTCCTACCTAGGCACTAAAAATGTCTTAAAAATAACTCAAAAACAATTCTAGGTTCAAATCCAAGAATGATATTAAAGACAAAATATCCACATAGGTAATAGGAGTAGTGTTTATTGCCATTTAATGGGCAGCAGTTATGATTTCTAAGAAACTTGGAAGGTCCTTTTATGGGAAGAGGACTTGACCTGGGTCTTCCATCACTCTTGACCTTTTGGAAAGTGAGCGAAAGTTAGCCAAAATACACTAAGAAAAGTAATTCAGCCTTGTGCTGACTCTTTCCACACCAAATAGCACCTATGTAGGAAGTAAATCATTAAGCTTTGACCACGTCTACAAGGCCAAAATGACTGCAGCATCCGCAGACAAGCCAGGCTGCTCATCCTCATTGGGACATGCCACACTTCAAAGGTGACCGAGCCGGTATAGTGGCACACACCTGTATTCCCAGCACCGAAGGGGGAGGATTGCTTGAGGCTGAGAGTTTGACCCGTCTGGACAATGCAAGCGAGATCCCCGTTTTCAACCAAAACATTTAAAACTTAGCCAGGCGCGGTGTTGTGCACCTGTTGTCCCATCTTCTTGGAAGGCTGAGGTGGGAGGATCCCTTAGATGGCCAATAATCTATTCAGACTTTGCCTTGTTCATTTCTTCACTTCCTTCTTTCATTTTATTTAAATAGATTGTATGTTCACATGATAAAAACAATTCAAGGGTTTTACAAGAGAAAATGAGGTTTTATCCCTAACCCTCCATTCTTCAATTTTTTTCCTCCAGGGACAAAAAGTCTTTCCAGTTCTTTTTTATCCTCCCATGGCTATCTTACACCTGGATGGAGAGCTACATTTAGACATCCTAATTTCTTTACACCTGAATTGCAGCTTATTTTGCATTAGTGTTCTGTACTTTTTTCCCCACTGACAATGTATCTTGGGAAAAAATGCCATGTTTCTAATGTTACACAAGTATTGCATCACATGTATTCGGCAAGACTGATTGAACTACTTTAATTCTGATTGGTCTGTAAGTTGCTATTAATCTACAACAAATAAAGGTACATTATGAGGAGTGGTGACACAGGCATAGTCATTTTCATGTAGATATATTAACACAGGAGAAAATACATTTCAAGCTGTGGAATTACTGAGCCAAATTCATGTACATTCCAACTTTTATAGATATTGCCAGATTGCCCTCTTTAGAGGTTGTACTAACTTATATACCTATCAATAAGGTAACAAAGTGCTGTTCTCCATTTGCTTGAAGGCAAAGTACTAACAAACTTTTCTGTATTTGTTAATCTGACAGGTGAATAATTGTCTCTCATATTTTTACTTTGGTTTTATGCTATAATTAATGAGGTTGTATAGCTTCTTCTTATTCCATTTGCACTTTCCAATATTTTATCCAACATCCTGGAACACACCTGTTTCTCCTCAATCCCCCAAAAATAGCTGCTCAACAGTCCAACTGCATATATCTTTTCTCCTCTTACCTTTCGTTCTCTAAATAAAATAAATGCATTCCCCATTAGGGTTTGGTGCAATCGACGATCTTTCCACTTTACATCACTTTATTAATTTGGTTTCTTACTCACCATTTTCTTGTCGAGGCCACAGATCAACCCATTTATTAACAAGTCTAGTAATAATTGTAAGAAGTGTAGCCATCTCTGTGAAGACATCAAGAACAACTGGAACGCGGAGCTCCAGCTTCATTCTTGTCAGTTTCTTTTGAGAACTTTCTGTATACAGCAGAAATATCAGTACCCATAGTTCATGAATATTATTAGACTTTATGGATTTTTTTTTTGAGACAGAGTTTTGCCCTGATGCCCAGGCTGGAGTGCAGTGGCTCGATCTCGGCTCACTGCAACCTCTGCCTCCCGGGTTCAAGCAATTCTGTGCCTTAGCCTCCTGAGTAGCTGGGATTACAGGTACGTGCCACCATGCCCAGCTAATTTTTGTACTTTTAGTAGAGACAGGGTTTCACCATGTTGGCCAGACTGTTATTGAACTCCTGACCTCATGATCCACCTGCCTTGGCCTTCCAAAGTGCTGGGATTACAGATGTAAGCCACTGCACCTAGCTAGGTTTTATGGTTTTAAAATACACTAGAGACTGCTACAAAACACTGGACACTCTTCATATACTTTGTTATTTCTGAAAGTTATTATTTTACCAGTAAATCCCCATTTCCTATAAGCTAATTAGATTTATTTATTGTCACATTCAAATAATTCTATTATAGAATCAGTAGATACTGAGTTTATAGGTTAAAATTGTTACAATTTCATGTTTTTAAAAACTTTGGGAAATTATTATTATCCCTTTAAAAATAAGTATGAAAGTATTGAATTGTTTCCCCTTTAACTTTTAACACAAGGAACTATAAGAATTGGAGGCTATAGAGTGTGTTTACAGTTGCAGCTATAAGAAATTCAGGTTTATCAGTAGTTACTCATTAGAATAATCACTGTATTTAATCTAACTACAGATAAAATATAACCTTAGCTATATACTTTTGTGAGGTATATAATTAACAGCATGAAGGAATGAAGTATAAAAATAATCTTTCTAGAATCTACTTTTAATCCAAGTCATGTATTTGGCATCACACAGGGTGTATTGTTTAAATTTTCTAACCTTGGTTGTAAGTCAACATAATTTCAGAGGTACTCGGTGAGGGTACATTTGAATAAGGTGAGCCCTCTCAGAACAAATCATCATGTTCAGGTACCTGAATCTGGGAAGGGCTTGTGATTTAGAAATGTATCTTTTATCTATAGCATTTCAGAAAGGTGAAAGAATTTTGTACTAGTATGAGTCATACTAGTAGAATGACCTTAAAAAATTATATGTCCTACTCATTTTTTTAAAAAAATGCTTTGTTCCTACAAATTCCCAAAAACCAACCTATCAGTTAATGTAAATATAATACATAATGTATCAATAATAATAATCAAGCTTCAGAATTGGTGGTTTGCCTTGAAAAAACATATATGCACTTGAGAAAACTGGAATTTTTTTGGACAAAACATTAACCTTCAAACTTCTTTTGTTATTGTGGGGGCCAAGGGAAAACTTCTCTTTTGCCTTCTGAAGATTTAATGAAAATCAATTGACAAAAGACAATGTAATAGGAGAAAAGGCATACAAATTTATTAACACACGCAGGAGGCATACAAAATACAAGAGCACCAAAAAATGTCCAGATAGTTGATGCTTTTATACCATCTGGAGGTTACAGAAAGTATATAAGCTTGGATCTTGGGAAAACAGGTTATGGTAGTAAATCAGCTTTAGACAGGACAGGGTATGGGAGGCAGAGAAGAGGAGGCCTGGCCTGGCCTGCAAAGGTGGTCTCATTACGTAGATGAAACCTCCCAGGCAGCAGGACTCAGGGGGAATAGATGGGAAATGTCTCTTTTGGACCTTTAAAGGCGTCACTCTCTGCCAATCTTTTCTAGATCTGGAGAAGGGAGGGTCTCAGAGAAAGCCAGGCTGCGTGGATGTGGATTTTCCCTGCAGGTGCAAGTCTTCCCAACAGAAGACCTTTGCAGGGCTGCCCATGGTCACAGGCCCTCTGAACATCCATCTTAAAATATATCAAAGAAGGGTATTTTGGGGTAAAATATTTTGGTTTCCATTATTTCAGTCATCTTATATTCTTTTTATCTTGTATATTTGAAGTTCCTACTTTCTTCGTTCTACTTGTTTCTTTCAGTAAAAATAGAACTCTAGTGCTTGGCCTTGAAAACTGCTGCTAGTGAAAAGAATCTCACAGAGATAAGGAGGGAAAATTTTGCTTGCTCTTGACAACCGCCAATAAAGCGTTTCTTACATACTAGCAATTTCTTTGAGTTGCCCTAATTCTTCCTTGATAAGTGCTCAAGCCTGTGGTCATCCAAAACCTGTTATTTTCTTTTATCTTTTCTATAGCTGATCCTACGGAATAAAGCATTGTTTTGGTATTAAGAATATGTAGGTGTCAGATTTTATTGAAATACATATAAACTTGCAAAAGTTTATCTCCGTCTTATGTGTTAAATAAAAACATAAAGATTAATTTAGGAAAACAGAAAAATATTAAAGTTCATATGCAGTTTTGAAAACTATTTCTTTACCATTCAAATTACCAATATGGCATTATTTATGATTACGAGAGTATTCTATGTTAAAATGTCAGTTAAGTAAATAATTTTATTGGTTTTCTTTATAAAGAAGTACTTTTTGTGATAAAAATTTCTTTAGGTTTAAACAGGAGAATCTATTTGTGTGAGACTATTCTCGCATTGGTATGAAGAAGTACCCGAGACTGGATAATTTATAAAGAAAAGAGGTTACATTGGCCCATGGTCCTGCAGGCTGTGTGGGAAGCATAGCAGCTTCTGCTTTTGGGGAGGCTTCAGGAAGCTTCCAATCCTGGCAGAAGGCAAAGGGGAAGTAAGCATCTTACATGGTAGGAACAGGAACACGAGAGATGGGGGGGAAGGTGCCACCTACTTTTAAATAACCAGATCTTGTGAGAACTCACTATCACTATCACGGGATGGTACTAAACCATTTTTTGAGAAATTCACTCCATGATCCAATCACCTCCCACTGGGCCCCACTTCCAACACTGGGAATTACAATTCAATGTGCGATCTGGGTGGGGACACACATCCAAACCACATCACTATTGTTATCTGTAAAAATACTACATTACAAATCTTGTAAATATAACAAAGGGCAAATTAAAGTTTGATGTGCTATTTGAAGTTGTTTCCTATTACTTCTGAGGGACGATGGTGTTACAAATTGGCCCCTCTTAATGTTAACATAAATAAATACTAGCTTTCAAAACTAATTATTTGTTCACAGTTTCAACTCAGATGCAGCCTGATTTTCAATTTTAAATAGTACTTTAGTTTATAGTACCGTAATAGAAATTAGCCCAAATAACGGAGTAGCTTGCAAGACCCCAAAGACACATTTACATTCTGACAGAAATGTAAGTATTGGTTTAAAATGAATCTTTACATTTGAAAAATCTAAGTTTATTTACCTAAAGCTATTAATTTGAACATACGTAGAGGTTCAGTAGAAGAATATGTATGGGGAAGGGTTTCCTTCACCCTCTGAAAGTTCACTAAAAATCAACAAGGCAGATTAATTGGAGAAACACATACAAATTCATTTAATGTGTCTACACAGGAGCCTTCAGAATGAAGACTCGCACAGGGGAAACTGTCATTTTATGCTTAGATTTAACAGTGTATGGACAGCCAGGTAGAAATATGGAGGGACACAAAGGGTGTGATCTACTGTTAATAGACGGAGCGGGGTCACCCAGCAAGGCCTGTCTCTCTAGACTCTTTCTGGCCTCTCTGAGCAGCGTCCTTCCTTCTGGGGTGGGACAAGACCTCCCTGGAATGGGGATTTTATGTGCTACGGTCAAAAAATTTCTCAATTTTCTGGCCAGCTTTTACACAAAAAGGCAAAGGGAAAGTTCGAGTAATACTTGTAGGTTTTATGGCTGGATTTGGGGAAAGGGGATCTGGTTGGTTAAAAGAAAAGCCTTTGCCAAATTAAATTGAACAGAGTTTAACTAAGCAAAGAATAATTCTCAAATTGGGCAGCCTCACAACCCAGAGTAGCTTCAGAGGCTCCGGCACAACCATGTGGTGGAAGAGGGCTTATGGGCAGAAGACAGAAAGAGGAAGTGCAGGAACAGAAATATTGGAGACAGCTCCATGTTTGCTTTATGTGAACACAGTTTGAACAGTTGTGCTTCTTGGATTGGCCAAAACTCGGCGATTGGCACAAGAGTAGATTACAGTCTGATTACAGTCTGTTTATACCTCCTTTAGGTTATAGTTCACTATGTGCTACAAAACCTTTAGGCCGAACTTAAAATATGTAAGGAGGCAGCTTTAGGCTGAATTTCATTCAACAGGTTTGTAAACCAAAAGTATCTGAGACATGTCTCAATCAAGTTAGAAGTTTATTTTGTTAAGTTTAAGGACAAGGGCCCATGACACAGCCTCAGGAGGTCCTGAGAACATGTGCCAAGGTGGTTGGGTGACAGCTTGGCTTTATATGTTTTAGAGAGACATAAGACATCAATGAGTATATGTCAGGTTTACATTCGTTTGGTCCTGAATGGCAGAACAATGCAAAGCTGGGGGTGGGGCTTATAGGTCTAGGTGGACTCACGGATTTCCTGATTGGCAATTGGTTGAAAGGGATAAGCTCTGCCTGCAAAGTTGGAGTCAGCTTGAGTTAAGGTAAAGGGGGTTATGAAGCCAAGGCTCTTGTCATAGAGAGGCAGCCTCCAGGTCGCAGGCTTCAGAGAGAATAGATGTGAGGCCGGGTGCGGTGGCTCACACCTGTAATCCCAGCACTTTGGTAGGCCAAGGTGGGTGGAGGTCAGGAGTTGGAGAGCAGCCTGGCCAACATGGTGAAACCCCATCTCTACTAAAAATACAAAAATTAGCCGGGTGTGGTGGCAGGCACCTGTAGTCCCAGCTGCTCAGGTGGTTGAGACAGGAGAATCACTTGAGCCTGGGAGGCAGAGGTTGCAGTGAGCCAATATCATGCCACTGCACTCCAGCCTGGGCAACAGAGCAAGACTACGTCTTAAAAAAAAAGAAAAGAAAGAAAATAGATGTGAATGTCTCTTACTCAAGGTGTCAGACTCTCTGAAGAGACCTACTAAAGGAAGGAATAGTGTCTGGCATATTATAAGCACTCAATAAAGATGTGCTGTGAATATTTATGAGATCGTCAAAGAGTTCTCAAATCAATAGTGAGAATACAGCTTTTCAAATCAGCATTATGATGTATTATACATCAACATTTTACCCTTCCTCAAACGGTGCTTTACGTGTGGGAAAGAAATAGCTGTATTTATTCAATGGTGGATTTTCTTCATTGCATTCCATTCAGTGTCTTTCAATCGCCAGGGAAACAGCAGGAATTCTCGCACAGGACAATGCGTCACGACCTGTGGATCCAGCATGCATTGTTGCATTTTCCCAAATGCACCCAGTGAAGGAGAATATGATAATGTGAAAAACATTTCACACCTTGTAAACATCTGAAAGTGGATTTGACAGGAAAGCCTGCATGTTAAATCGAAGATAGTCTTTTGATTCCGTAACCATTCCGTGAACCATTCGATGCAGAAAAATCCATGCTGGAGAAGGCTCCACTATGCCTAATGCAGGATACTGATGGAAGAATGAATTATTCTACCGTATGTTGTTTAAAAGGTATTAAAATTGTATTAGGAGGAGTGGCTCTGTCTATAGCCGTGGGTCAGTGCTGACAGAACTTGGTGGCCACAGCCAGCTAAGACATGCCACCATGGGGAAGTAATTTACGAGCTATGGAACAAGAGCTGAATTTATTTGTTTTCTGAACCTCTTTAAAAAATACATACAGCTTTATTGAGATACAATTTACTTACCATAAATCTACTTGTGGGTGCAACTCAATGGATTTTTAGCATACAGAGTGTGCAATTACCACCATGATATGATATCCGAACAGTTTCCTCACCCCGGAAAGAAATCTCATGCCCATCAGCAGTTGCTCTGCAAACCCAGCTCCTCCCATGTTCTTCTCCTTCAGCTCCCAAATTAGACAATCCTGAATCTGCTTTGTGTCTCTATGGATGTGAGTAATCTGGGCATTTCAAATAGAGTCACATCATATGTGGCCTGTGGTGACTGGCTTCTTTTGCCCGGCATAACATTTTCAAGGTCTATCTATGTTGTAGCATGTACCGGTAGTTCCTCATTTTTATGGCAAAATATTCCACATTTAGTGTGTCTGTTTCTTAGTTGACAGACTTTGGGTTGTTTTCACTGTTTATTATAAATAATTTTGCTACAAACACCCATGTATGAGTTTCTGTGTGGACACGTTTTCATTTCTGTTGGGTATATATCCAGGAGCAAAATACTTGGATCATATGGGAACTTTATGTTTAATCATTAAAGAAACCTCTAGACTATATTCCAATGTGACTGTACTGTTTTATTAGGTTGGTGCAAAAGTAGTTGCGGTTTTTGCCATTTAGAAGTACTGACAAAACCGCAATTACCTTTGCACCAACCTAAAACATTTGCACCAGCAGTGAACGAGGGTTTCAATTTCTCCTCATTCTCTCCAGCACTTGTGTTTGTTATCTTTTTGGTGACACCATTCTCGTGGATGTGAAGTGGTATCTTTTTGTTAGTTTGGTTTGTAGCACATGTTGAAAAAACAATTATTTTCTCATTGATGTGTCTTTGCCTCTTTGTCAAAGATCAATTAACCATAAATGTTAGGATATACTTCTAGAGTTTCCATTCTACTCTGCTGGTTTGTCCATCCTTATGCCAGAATCACTCTGCCTGGATTACCATAGCTTGTAGTGACTTTTGAAATGGGTATGTGTGAGTTTTCCAATTTCTTCCTTGTTTCTCAGGATTGTTTAGCTATTCTTTCATTTAATTTATGTAACTTTAGTTTTATTTCTAGCAAAGCAATACATAGCCATAGTTTAAGAAATTGAATACAAATAATTAAATGTGTTTTCATATTTGTGACTTTTAGATATTATCTATTGCCATCCTTCTAAAGAAACAGCATTTAAATTTATTATCCATCTAATCATACACACAAATACATCATTTTGCTTTTTCTCATGAAATATATATTATATATACACAAACATACATAGACATACATACACATATAGTGTGTGTATATAAATGTGGATATATATATTTAGATATACATACACATCCCAGTTATATATGCGATACACACACACACACACACACACACATACACGCATACCAGCTATGTATAGGGAGTATATATATCCCAATGATTTCTTGTCTAATCAGTATTGAAATATTTACATTCTTTGGGCTATTTAAAAATTACTTGTTACTGAATCATTTTTTGTACAATGTACATAATTTTGTTCTTGTGTAACATTTTGTACTTATAGGTGAATATTGCATTTTTATTCTTAAATTTCATATGCACATATCAGAAATTTTTCCTCTGATATATTACTCTAAAATATGTATAATATTTTAAATATGGCAGAATATCTAATTATTTATAAGATTATTTACTTGTTCTTTTTAAATTTTCTTTGTTATAGAGACCTAATTTCCGAGTCCTCCATCTGTCACTTGTAACTTGAACAGTGTCTCACTAATCTTTCTCTGTCAATCTTGTCACATGATTTAATTCTTTTTCTCCTAGGCTGTCTCCCCTCTTTCGCAGGCCACAAAAGATTTTCTTTATATTTTACTTTTTATATTTTGGGACACAGTCTCTCTGTGTCACCCAGGCAACTTCAACCTCCTGCACTCAAGGGATCCTCCTGCCTCAGTGTACAGGCATGCACCACCACACTCAGCTAATTTTTACCTTTGTGTGTGTGTGTGTGGAGACAGGTCTCACTTTGTTGCCCAGGGTGATCTCAAACTCCTAGGCTCAAGTCATACTCCCACCTTGGCCTCCCAAAGTGCTGGGATTACAGGTGTAAGTCACCTCTCCAGCCTTCCAAAAGACATTTCTTAATTTTACCTCTCATGTTCGTAAGGTGCACTCTTTAGTAGCTCCCTGAGTAAGAGTGCACTGAAGGCTAATACATATAGCCCTTGTGTTCTGAAAAATGTCTTCATTCAACTCCCACATTTGATTGGCAGTTGATTGTGTATAGGATGATGAATCAAAAATTATTTTGTCAGAAATATGAAGGCTTCACATCATGTTCTAGCTTCTTTTTTTTTTTTGAGACGGAGTCTCGCTCTGTCGCCCAGGCTGGACTGCAGGGGCGCGATCTCGGCTCACTGCAAGCTCCGCCTCCCGGGTTCCCGCCATTCTCCCGCCTCAGCCTCCCGAGTAGCTGGGACTACAGGCGCCCGCCACTACGCCCGGCTAATTTTTTGTATTTTTAGTAGAGATGAGGTTTCACCGTGTTAGCCAGGATGGTCTCGATCTCCTGACCTTGTGATCCGCCCACCTCGGCCTCCCAAAGTGCTGGGATTACAGGCGTGAGCCACCGCGCCCGGCCATGTTCTAGCTTCTTGATATCAGCTTCTCCGCATGTGGTATTAGGTTCCATTCTGTCATTCTCACTCCTGATTTGCTATGTGTAACTTTTTTTCTTCCTGAAGATTTTTCCCAGTCTTAGTGATTCCATGCTTTGGCGTTGCCATTTTTTAATTTACTATGACAGGCCCTCAGTGGAGTTTCCACTTGGAAAGTCATGTCTGAGTATGTTCTGAAATTTTTTCTTTGTTTCTTGAATATTTTTGCCTTTTCCTCCTCTTTTTTGAGAAAATTTGTTTTAGGAATATTGATGCTTTAGATGGATCTTCCCATTTACTTACTTCTTCATCCACTTTTACAGTTTGTTTTCTTTCTCTTCCACTCCACTGAGATTTTCTCAATTTAAACATCTAAATCTCCTACTGATTTTTCTGCTACCATTGTGTGTGTGTGCATAACTAATTATATGATCTTTTGAATTTTTAAAAAATATAACATCTTGTTTTAATGTCATGGTACAATATTTTCTTTCTTCCAATATTTCCGAGTGCATCAGTTACTTATTTCTAGGCTACTTTCTTTTCTGGAAATATCACAGTTTCCACTAAGTACTTTTTGTTTGTTAATTTATTGGGGTTTGGCCTCTGTTTTTCTTATTTGAAACTCTCCTCAAAATCCGGTACGTCTTGTCCCTCAGTTTATATTTCAGAATGAGATAGTGACATGGAGAGGTGGAGGCAGTGAGCCAAGATTGCATCACTGCATTCCAGCTTGGAAGACAGAGTGAGACCTTGTCTCAAAATAAAATAAAATAAAATTTTTAAACTTCCGGGCCTAAGGAAGAATGATGGGCTTATGAATAATGGGCTTCTCTATAGATAGCGTGGGTAAAATTTAGACTTTTTCTTTTGGATAATCACATCTAGCAGCATCTCTCTGGACTGTCTTTTATCCTAGTTAACTTACCAGAGAAATCCTTTACCTTCAGGATGGGCCTATCAGTCTGGCTTCTGATACTCACTGACCACAGGAATAATTTAACTAAATCTTCCAGAAATCAAAATTTTATCTGATGTAAACTGTTCAGAAAAATCTTCAACCTTTGGAGCCAGTGATTAACTGCTAGTTTTCTGGGTTGGAGGGTAGAGATCAAGAGGTCTGACTTCTTTCAAAATCTTTGGATGTGTTCAACTTTTCCCACTCCCAAGCACTCTGTGTCTAACGCAGGCTTCCTCCGTTTTCTGAGACCTGCTTGGAATCTGCCATGGACATTGACCAGTGTCCTGGTTTCCGTCTCCCCTTACCCTTCTCCCACTGGTAGGATGTTAGCCTTTAACTTTTTCCCACCTGCAGGTTGCTTGCTATTTCTAACCACTGTCCTTTTCATTTTTGCATCCTCTCTTTTCATTTTTTCTGTCTTTGTAAGGCTGTTTTTTCACATCTTTGCTATAATTTCAGTGAGGTTTCTTTGGTGGCTCCAAAGTGATATGTGAGACCAATCTAGTACATTTACCACAAATTCCTCATTTTAGTAATTTTTGTATTTTTAGTAGAGAAGGGGTTTCACCATGTTGGCCAGGCTGGTTGCAAACTTCTGACCTCGTGATCTGCCCACCTCTGTCTCCCAAAGTGCTGAGATTACAGCGTGAGCCACCGCACCCGGCCAAGAACCAATAATTTTTAATGTAGTTCAGTGAATGATAAGCCTAAAGTTTATTAGATCATACTTCAATAATTGAAGCAGTTGGTAGGTGCAGGAACACGCAGACCTATCAAAACAATAGAATTTAAAATAGAGCCACAGATACAGTATCCATTAGAATTTGGTTTGTAAAGGTGTGTGAGGATTTCCTGAAGCTGCTGAAACTCCTGTTCAGTGGTAGGAGTTCAGAAGCCAAATAGATGATCTATTTATCAGATGAGCATAGAAACAGAATTCCAATTGGGAGGCCAAGGTGGGTGGATCATGAAGTCAGGAGATCGAGACCATCCTGGCTAACACGGTGAAACCCCATCTCTACTGAAAATACAAAAAATTACCCGGGCGTGGTGGCGGGCGCCTGTAGTCCCAGCTACTTGGGAGGCTGAGGCAGGAGAAAGGCCAGAACCCGGGAGGCGGAGCTTGCAGTGAGCCGAGATCGCGCCACCGCACTCCAGCCTGGGCGACAGAGTGAGACTCCCTCTCAAAAAAAAAAAAAAAAAGAAAAGAAAGAATTCCTAGAAAATGGCTTCTAGTCTTTCTATTGATACTTCAGGTGAGGGACCCTGTATAACTCCTTAGTTCTGCCAGGGGTTATTGAAAAATAAAAATATTCTTTTAAAGTCTTTTTCACTTTTTTTAATATTGACCAAATAAAATCATCTATGTAAAAGCCTTTTACAATTTATTGAATAATATATGGATGCAATATTGTTTAGACTGGAAAAAATTATTTTTTATATAAACAGAGGAAAACTGGGGGTTACATATAAAGTTATAATTGTTGGTAGAATAAATCACTGGGATTTAGAAGGTAAAAGTCATTAGGTCTTTGCAGGTTCCCACTTCTGTGTATAAATAAATGATTTTCAATAAAATGCAAGTTATTATTATACATGATTGAGAAGAAGAAAGGGAAGAGGGTCAAAGTTTATGTTTTGTCCATTTAAAGATGGAGACTTTTTTGTAACATCAAGGAAAAATCAAGGTAAGAAACTGGATATGCGACTGTGGAGCTCATGGATAGGATTCAGTTTTCAGGTGCACATTTTGGGATTCATAAATATAGAAGTCATATTAGAAGGGATGAGGTTGGAAGAGATCATCCAGGAAGTAACAATGCAGGAAGGAAGATGTCGGAGGACACAAATAGTACATTTAGGAGTTAGGGGAAAAAGATAAACAAGCAAGTAAGATGAGAACGCTAGGTAGCCAATAAGGTAAGAGGAAAACCACGGGGTCGTGGATTCCAGAAAGGCAAGTTTGAAAATGATTTAATAGAAGAGATCAATTAACTGCATCAGATGCTGCTGATATGAAAGAGTAATTTGTAATTTGAGGGCTGAGAATTGATCACTGATTTTAGCCACATGAAGGTCACTGGTGCCCCTGCCGATGGTTTCAGTGGAGTGGAAAGCATATCCAGCTGATTGCAGTGTCCTCAAAGAGAACAGGAGGAAAGAAGCTGGAGACAGAGAGTATGGCTTGAAGAGGGAACAGCCAAGTGGAAAGTGGAAAGTAGACAAATGGAGAAGCTGGAGACAGAGAGTATGGCTTGAAGAGGGAACAGCCAAGTGGAAAGTGGAAAGTAGACAAATGGAGACATGGCCAAAAAAAAAGGCACAATGTTTGTTTTCATAATAGAAATTTTCAGGTATTGTATGCTGATGAGAATAATCCAGGAAAGAGGGAAAATATTAAATTTCAGGAGAAGGAGCGATTGCTGGAGCAATTGAGCATTGATGGTCTCATAGATAACTGAGAAGGTTGACTCAGTATGATAGAGTCATGCTGAACACTCTGGGTTCCAAACTCTAGCATGCAGATGTTTTATTCTAACCAGTAACTAAACTGGCTCATAGAAGGAAGGAATAATAAGCTTTTGGTAAATTATAAATTATTGTTTCTCTAACTTTATTTGGTTTAAATTAAACTGTTAGCAGGTACACAGACTGCTCTGTTATCTCAATGGTCTACGAAGTTTATCAGTAGGCATTAAAAAACAGCCTGTCACATTTTATTTATCTGTTGGAAGTATCTCAGTTGCCAGGCGATAACGCTGAGAATTTGATTAGGTGACTCAATTTCCTTTTAAGATGACTCACCTAATATAGGAATACAGAAAATTCCAATTTCTTGGCAAACAGTCTCTGAAATCTCAATTTGATCAACTCTATGAGATTGATAAATCTTACCAATTAAAGTATTCATAAGTGTAACTTCACAGTTAATATTTATTCATTTCACACAGGATTTCCAAGTCAGAAATTATTTATATTTGAGTTATTAAATCCATAAAATTGAAAGAATTCTGCTTTTGAGATAATGCTTTGTAAGATAAATACAAAGTTCTTTTGAGTATAATTTTCAGTTCTCAAAACATTTTATGAAAATAAAAATGAAGAATTGTTAGAGTGACATCATATAAAAAATTATTTAGATGGAAGAAAACCATTTATCAATTAATAGTACTTGCCTTCTGCCTCCAAATTGTTCAGTGCTGCATTTATTATTTTAAAACAAGAAAAAAAGGCATTCTCCCTTTTCCAGTTACTATTGCTATAAACCAAATTACCTGCAAGACTTAGTAGCTTAAGGACGGGCACGGTGGCTCACGCCTGTAATCCTAGCACTTTTGGGAGGCCGAGGCAGGCAGATCACGAGATCAGGAGTTTGAGACCAACCTGTCCAACATAGTGAAACCCCGTCTCTACTAAAAAAACAAAAATTTAGCTGGGCATGGTGGCAGGCACCTGTAATCCCACCTACTCGGGAGGCTGAAGCAGGAGAATGGCTTGAACCTGGGAGGTGGAGGTTGCAGTGAGCCAAGATCGCACCTTTGCACTCCAGCCTGGGTGACAGAGAGAGACTCTGTGTCACAAAAAAAAAAAAAAAAAGAAGAAGACTTAGGTAGCTTCAAGCAATATGCATGTTTGTAATATCACATGGATTGTGTGCTGCAGGGACTGGGGTGAGTCTTCTGCTTATGCCTCAACTGGGCCATTCAGCCGTACTTAGCTGGTGGGTGGGATGAACTGGAAGGCCCACAGTCGCTCCACTCACATGTCAGACACCTTGGTAGGGATGGCCAAGATGTTTGGCTTCGAGGGGGGTTCTCCACCAGACCACCCAAAACTTGTCAATCCCAGAGTAGCTGGACTTGTTCCATGATCCTTGACTCCCCTCATAGTGAGTGTGCCAAGAGAACTAGAAGGAAGTTACATGGCCCTTTAAACACCCTCAGGGAACTTATGTGACTTCTGCGGCATTTTATTTGTTGAAGCAAGCACCAGCCCACTTAGATTCAAGGATGGGGGGTGGACCTCCAGCTCTCAAGGGAGAGAGTTTCAAAAGGTTGTGGATTTTTGTTGTTGTTTAAACCACCACACGCCATCCTCAAAGATTATCAGATAAATTAGTTAAATACTCAATGTTAAAGCTAGCTACAATTTCAAGCAATTTTTATAGAAAGAAGGGATGCAAATAAATATAATTAGTAACAAATATCTAAAGTTAGCTTCTACCTGCTGGAAGAAATCTGAGAATAATTTTGTCAAATATGGTATTTCTTTCTTTGACAGGAATACTTGGCTCATTCCCAGGACCTACAAAAGATATTTGATAGTGTTTCTAATGATTACTCTGTGGAAAAGACATGAGATCAATTCTAATAAAATTAGGTAGGTTAGTAAAAAGTTTCACAAGACTTGCCGTCAATTCAGAAGGAGTTCTAACTGCATACAAACTTGGAATGAATTCTAAAGATGTTGAATGATAGAATCCGAATTCAAGATATATTTGATTAAATAGAGCATAATTTTCTCTGCAAATCCTGTCCAGCTGGACACACTGTGAATACAAATTTCCATGTTCAATACATATAGAAATATCACTCTCAGCTTTTGAAGAGTTAACAGGTAAAAAATCTGTTACATTTAAAGTAAAAAATAGTTTTACACTTTATATTTTTCTGACCATGAGGCTAAATTTTGGTTCCTCTTTTGTGAAATTATTCCCTTCCTAGAGAATAAGCATGCAAGATAGGCTTTGTAAACCTGAAAACTGAATGGAACTTAAAAAGATGGAATATGACATAGTTTGGATAGCTGTCTTTACCTAAATCTCATGTTGAACTGTAATCTTCGATGCTGGAGACAGGGTCTGATGGGAGGTGTTTGTGCCATGGGTGCGGATTCCTCATGGCTTCGTGCTGTCTTTGCGATAGTGCGTGAGTTCTCATGAGATCCCGTCTTTTAAATATGTGTGGCACTTACCCCACCACTCACTTGCTCCTTTGCTTCTGCTTTTGCCATGTGATGTGCCTGCTCCCTCTTCACCTTCTGCCACAATTGTAAGCTTCCCGAGGCCTCCCCAGAAACCAAGCAAGTGCCAGAACCATGCTTCCTGTAAAGCCTACAGAGCTGCAAGTCAATTAAACATCTTTTTAAAAAAATACATTATCCAGTGTTGGGTATTTCTTTATAGCAATGCAAGAATGACCTTATCCAGAATATCATGATCATAACAACAAATTTAGGAAATGTATATAGCTTAGCAGAAGTGAAAAAAGATAAACAACTGAATTGGTAGTAAATTCAACACGAGTACCAGGTAGTGAAATAGCTGTCAAAACACCTGGCATTTGTTGCACTTCATTATAACTATAAATCCATTAGAAGACAGTTGAGATCAATGCTCTACAATACATTAATGGAAAATTCCTAGAGTAGCTTTGTTCTGGTTTCTTCATTATAAAAATGATATTGGCAAAGAGGCTTAAGTTTATAGAAAATCAAATGGCTGATGAGGACATTTAATCCACACCATTTCAGAAACTTGATAAATATGGAAAAAGATCCTCAGAAGGGACTTGATTTCCAGTGACAGGAAGTTTTTAGCTATCAATTGAATGACAGCTATGTCTTTGGCCCCAAACCATGGACCCACGTATATCAGAGGCATTTATAAGATCACATAAAGATGCTGGCTTTACATTTACAGAAGTTGGCCGTACTGTTCCTCCACTTTATCACTTTTGACCTGTTTTTTAATTCTATGCCTTTTTGATTTCAGTATAACCAAGCGTTACCTCTTGGCTCGCTTCGTTTTGCTTAAGCCATATTCACATTATTTTTCTCTTAGTTTGACCTTTAGTACATCACAGAATGACTTTCTGATTTGCCTTTAGGTCCTTTGCACCGCTGCTACTGTAGGAGGCACTCCCATCTCCATCTCTTTCTCCTAGCCTGCTAGAAACAAGAGCTCTCTCCACTTAGCATTTTCACTGGAATGGGGTTTATTGTGGTTTAAGAATCTGATAGGGGTTTGAAAAGGTTGTTCTTGAATGTCTTTATCATTTTACATTAAAAGTGACTTCGACAGATTGAATGTTACATAGGCACCACTATCTTCTCTACATCTTCCTCCTGTGAGACAGATCTGTCTTCCTAATACATCAAAGGTGCTGCCAGTTGACAACGATCTTGAAACCGTCTATATCTGGCTAGGTGTTTTCCAACACGGAAAAGTGTGATCATTGGCAATGAACAGGGAAATAAGACAATTCTAAGTCATATTGCTACATTGACAGAATGATTGATCACTGTTGCTGGAAAGAATCATGTTTCAGTGAAGCCCACCAACAGCTTCTGGTGCCAAGCAGATGACTGGATGTAGATTTGGTTATATAACAGCCCATTCAGGTAAGAAGCAATGGCTATCCATGATAGTGAATGATATGTAATGTGCCCAGTTCCAGGTGGAGAGCAAGGGAGAGAACAAAAGCATCTCCCCAGAAGAGGTAATTTCTATGATTTTGACAAAGATACAGAAAACTTCAGAAGCCTATCATAGTTGTTGTCACAGAATCACCGACGTTAGTAACTTTCCAGTGTTATGAAGACACTTGCTTAATTGCTGCATTTATTGTGACTAAAATCCCCAATCAGCCAACTGTCACTGTTATTGATCATAATTTGGACAAAATATTGAGGCCCAAAAGTGTGTTGATTTTTAAAAAGTGTGTTGGCGTTGGTTTGTGACCTTAAACGTGGCACCTTGATATGTTCACCCTTACTATTGAGGACAAAATATTTAAAACCAAGTCTATAACTAGGTACACCCGCTTGGGTGGACAATCCAATGCTTAACCATTTCATCACCAAGATGAAATACAATCCCAAAACGACAAAACTGAGACAAAATGCTGCTTCTTGACTCTGCATAGTTCACAAACATGTTAAAGTACTCTATCAACATTCAGACCAATATTGAGAAACATTTCTTCTATAAAGAAGTCTACATTTTGAAGGATTGAAAACTGATGTAAAGACAAGCACCCCAAACCCCATAAAGAAAGCTTTATACCTGGCAAGTCATAGAGTCAAGGCAGTATGTGTATTCCCAAGTTCCAGAAATCTTTGCAAGATTCGTGCAATAGTAAGTAATTAAACCAGAGTATGAGCCACAATACATCTGTTTTTGATGGAGCAGTTGAACAGGAAATCTAGTTGTCAGTGCAGACAGTTGAGATCAGTGCTCTACAATACATTAATGGAAAATTCCTAGAGTAGCTTCGTTCTGGTTTCCTCATTAAAAAAATGATATTGGCAAAGAGGCTTATGTTTATAGTTTTTCATTATAAGTGAAAAAATGTTAGGCTTTTCTGTATCTGGACATCACTCATGTTTCCCTTGGTATTAAAATGGATAATGAAGACATAATTGTTGTGATCAAACATAATGCCCCATTTCCACCAAGGAGACACAGACCTTACATTCTGACAACTGTTTGAATTTACAAAGATGAGGAAGCAATGGTGAAGGGAAAATCTTAGTTGGAGAGTCTGACATTTGAGGCATTTCTCATGAGTATCATAGCATTCTTCAGATTGAAATCACCTCTGATGCTAATGCCTGTGGCATCCGTAAGGTGTCTGTGGTGAACCAAAGCATAGGAAATGAAGCAAGAATTATAATCACCATTGACGATGGCTGAGTAAGGAACACACTGAGCAGTTAGTTGAGGAGACAGAAGTACAGCCACTAAGGATGAAAGGCACGGAGACTGAGATGCCTTCCAAGACCTTAATTGAATCTTACACATTCAGTATGAACACCACAGGAGACAGTCAAAAACCCCAAGGGAAGATCAATGATAAGAATAAGTGAAAGATGTTTGACAAGTGCATTAAATTATCAACTGGCTGGACAAAATTCAGACTTCAGGGAGGATGAATTTGAACATTGGAAGAATGACCCAGTAAAGATCCTCAAATCATTAATTATCAGCAGTTTCCAATTCAGGGGATACGTCAGGCAGGACATCTAGCAGCTTCTCAGGGGACAGAGCTCCTTCTAGAAACACTTCTCTGCATCCACCATGGATAACGGCCAATCTTCCAGTTAGTAAAAATATTTTAAGGAAACAATTTTTTGCAAATTCATTCATGTCAATTGAACCACATGTAATACATTCACCATGTCTTAAAGCTATTGGGCATTTTCAATACTTCATATACATAGAAAATGCTAGTCACATTGTGCTTTTTCAGTATTTATGTAAACAAACATGCAGAAAATTTAACAGTGCTGGGGAAGTGGAAATTAGGGAAAAGAAGGTGGATTTATCCCTGCCCTTTTAAAGTAACAGATATTTCTAAAAGTGTTGGAAGAATAAATGTTTTCTAACAGCACTCCTGCAACATAATTTAAAAACATAAATTACTGAGATTATGACCTGAGTTAAACCAATCTATAAATCTGTCTAGAAACTATCATGATAAGTGGATATAAAATGTATTCTTTTAAGGTATTAATACAGAAACATACATAATTTATGTAATAATTACTGATGGCCATCAGGTAATGTGCTATATGTGTATCACTTAATTTGATCTTAATAACAGCCCTAAGAATGGCCTAGAAGTGTTACTACCATTTTTTTTTTTTCCTTTTTTTTTTTTTTTTTTGAGACGAAGTCTTGCTCTGTCGCCCAGGCTGGAGTGCAGTGGTGCGATCTCGGCTCACTGCAACCTCCACCTCCTGAGTTCAAGAGATTCTCCTGCCTCAGCCTCTCGAGTAGCTGGGATTACAGGCACCTGCCACCACATCTGGCTAATTGTTTCAGATTTTTAGTAGAGACGGGGTTTCACCGTGTTAGCCAGGATGGTCTTGATCTCTTGACTCGTGATCCACCCGCCTCACCCTCCCAGAGGCTGGGATTACAGGCGTGAGCCACCGTGCCCGGCCTAATTTTTGTATTTTTAGTAGAGGCGGGATTTCACCATGTTGGCCAGGCTGGTCTTGAACTCCTGACATCAGAGTTACCACCATGTTATAGATGAACATACTGAGGCCCAGAGAGGACAGGGTTCTTGATGAAAGTTACCCACTCGAGAAGTGCTAACCTAGAATAGAAAATCAGCCAACTTGATTCTAGAGTTCAAGTCTTTTGTGGGTTTTTTTTTTGATAGGAGCGGAGGTTCCAGTGAAAACTGGGAAACTTGCTAGACAAATTTTAAGAGAGCTGTAGCACTCTAAAGTTCGTGTTCCTAACCGATTTTTCCATTTCTCTTTATATCATAATGTATGTGAACAGTTTTCTGTCTTCATCTGTTATTGAATAATAGTTGTTACCTATTGAGCATTGTATTTACATAACATCGTTTTCCATTGCTATTAAAATTACTTACCAATCTTTAGACGATTCATCTACAGTAATACTACTGACTACAATTCAATTGAACTGTCAAAAAATCATAATTTCCCCCAAATTACTGAAAATACAATGTTGTATTTTACACTAAAATTCTTTTGAAAAAGTGAATGATGTTAAGTTCATATGTTCACTAATATGACACAGTCTCTTTAATTTTCCAAGATAGGCTTGAGGAACAAACAAGGTGGAAATTCCCTTTCTTTTCTTTCCTTTTTTTTTTTTGGTGTGGCACAGTATCACAAGGTCAGGAAAGCCACCAACCTAAATCGCATGTTTAGAAACGCTGAAATGGAAGCTCTGAGTTCCCTGGAGGGGTCACTAGCCACCAGAAAGGCTGTCTTTTGAGTGAAATTTGTGACTGAGATCTGGACAATCTATGTCCATTAAAGACCCCCCCCACAACCCACACAGCTTCTGATCAATGTTGTCGCCAGTGTTGTCACATATTTAAATGGTACTGTAAGCCCTGCAATGAGGATTGTATCATTTATCTCACATTAAGGTTAAGAAGCTAAATTAAAAATCTGCCAAGAAATGTGACATTCATGCCCAATGCTTTACTTTCAGTTGTCTTTCCTTCCTATATTACTTGATGTGAAGTTAAAGTGGGAAGATATTTGCAATAAACGGTGCATAATATTCTCAAAAAGTCAAAGTGTTATTTCATAAATTGGGACTATTTAATGGTAAAGTGTGAGAAACTAAAAATTCTCAGATAAAATTATTCACTCCAAATATCAGTCACTAACAAGATGGAAATACTCTATTAAAGATGATAGTTGTCGCTGGAACTGTAGGAAATCAAATGTATATGCAATTTAAATGTAAATAGGGCACATACTTTGGTCCTGTCCATGAATACAGACCTTATAAAAAAAACTTGTCACTCAGTTTAAAGAAAACATGCTAGATTTGGCAATGCTGAAAACATCCAACAACTGGACTTTGGGCTTTCTACAGTCCATTAATTTTGAATGCCCGCAGCACAGGAAACTGAGTAGTAACATCAGTGTTAAAGCTATAGAGAGTTTTAACAGTGACAAAATTCACTGCTTCAAGTTTAAAGGCTTGCTTTTGTGGGTGTGGCAATTAATTTATTTGAAATTATAACAGAATTTATGATATGTCCTCTCAGGAATAAGAAATTGGGAATAATCATAATAATATTCTGGGGCAGAGGACCTCTGTTGAGTATCGAAGAATGTGACTGCCATTTTGAAGAATGGTCTGCTTTAAGGGGTTATTCTGTTTACTCCTAACAATTTGGTAATCACATATATATTGTAATATCATCTGAATTTGGAAAAAAATCTTATTTATCATGTCTTGTTTCTTTCTATATTGCTTCTCCTTTTTACATTTTTATTAACTCATTTTTTTCCAGATGATTTGAATTTTACTGAGAATTAAGAAATGTGCATTTAAAAATCACCTGGGCAGTTACAATTATGGTGATATATAAAATAATTTCAATCACAATAGGTGTCATAATTGTATTATCATTAGTTCTCCAAGAAAAAACTTGTTCCTCCCTTGAATATAAACCATTGATATTAGGATTATGTGTTTTTAATGGAAAATAAAGTCTTGTAAGCTTAGCCTTTCTTTTTCTTAAAGGCTAATTTATGTTCCACCACAAATGTTCTGATCAATCATACTGCACTTGTGGGCAATGAAAGAATGTAGATGAGAACGGCTCTTGGTAAAGTGAAATCATTCTTTTACTTTTTACTCATAATAATTTGTTTCATAAGTTTGTAAGACAGCATTTTGGGTCCCAGTCACCTGCCATGAAACTTAAAATGTTGGTCAAAATTACAATGAGGACCAAATTGTGAGTATGGAGAATTTTAAATGGAATTAAAAATATAATAATACCACTACTTGAAGGGGATGTATTGATGCATTGTGCTATCTTTCATATTTTAAAATCACAGAGAAATATATATAATAATATGTGCTATTCTTGAATAATGTTAATATTACAATTTAAGTAAAAAATCAATGGGATGTGTTCAGTATGACATTTATATTTATGAGATATATTTATAATAGTTTAATAATAATGTATGATTTTTATATTTACAATAATATTAACAAAAAGCCTTTGCTTAAAAGGAATTTGTTCTGATACCCTTGAAAATACCACTTTTGACAAAAAAAAGTAAAATCCAATAGCAATACAATAAAATGGCATATTGATATTTAATGGTGTTATTTTAATTTGTAAGATTATGCTAAAATGAACAAATATGAATAAATAAAAATGAACATTCTATTTCCAAATTTTGCTACTGTTTTAGTATTACCAATTCATATCCATTTTAGAAAAGAGGTAATATAAAATTTATAATTTAAAAAATTGTTTCTTATTGAGGTAAAATTTACATATCTCATCTGCACAGATCTAGAGTGTTGATTTTGGTACATTTTGATAAATATATAAACTCATGTAATTAGCATCTCAATCAAGATCTAGGGTGTTTTCAAGGTCCTAGAAAGCGTCTTCGTGCCTCTGCTGGTCAGCTCCCATGGCCCAAAGGCAACCGCAGCTTATTTCTATCATGATGCATTTGTTTCGCTTATTCTTACCTTCTTTCCATTAGCATCACCAACTTAAGACAATGCTTTGAAAGTCATTCCTGTTGGTGCATTTATCAGGATTCCTGCGTAGTGTTCCACTGTCTGAAATGCTATTATTTCTAGATACTGTCCTATTTAGATATTTTGGGTCAACCCAATTTTTTAAAAAGTTTATAAATATAGCTGTTATGAACAGTCTCAAACAAGTCTTTTGGTGGTACTGTTAGTAAAGACAGAGTTTCACCGTGTCGGCCAGGCTGGTCTCAATCTCCTGACCTCATGATGCACCTGTCTCAGCCTCCCAAAGTGCTGGGATTACAGGTGTGAGCCACCGCACCTGGCCTTGTTTTATTTTTGTTTTGTTTTCTTTTGTTTTTGTTGTTGTTTTTTAAGATTAGTACCTAGAAATGGAATTTCAAGGTCATAAGGTCAATATATGTTTAACTTTAGAAGCAACTGCCAGTTTTCTACAGTCATTATGCTAAACTGCAATTCCACCAGCAGGGGCAGAGAGTTCCTTTTGCTCTGTATTCACAAAACCTTTTTGGATTTTAGACTTTTTTCATCCATACTAGTGAGTGTGAAATAGTGTGTCTACAGGTTACTTTTTTGATTGGAAATTATTAGAGCAGCTTTCTGAGTTAACATGGCTTAACATAATGGCCAGCTGGTAGCATGTTATCAACCTGTATTATATCCCATTTGTTTATAAATTTATACATGTACTTCAGAATATGTAATAAATGCTTTATAAATATTTCAAATGCAAAACAATTTAAAAATATACGTGAAGAATAAATTTCAAGAAGACATTTCAGAACACACACACAAAAGGTAATAAAATAAAAATGAAATAGAAACAATCATAACCTGATTTTAAGGATGTTTCAATGAAGTGTCCTTGATAGCCCTGAATTGTAGAATAATTCTGAATTAAGGCCAAGCACGGTGGCTCACGCCTATAACCCCAGCACTTTGGGAGGCCAAGGTAGGCAGATCACTTGAGGTCGGGAGTTCAAGATCAACCTGGCCAATATGGTGAAACTCTGAATCTACTAAAAATACAAAAATTAGCCGGGTGTGGTGACATGTACCTGTAGTCCAGGCAGGAGAATTGCTTGAACCCAGGAGGCAGAGGTTGCAGTGAGCAGAGATTGTGCCACCGCACTCCAGTCTGAGCAACAGAGCATGATTCCGTCTCAATAAATAAATAAATAAATAAATAAATAAATATTCTGAATTAAACACAATTTTCCACCTGAAATAGAGAATTCAAAATCAGCCTATATCTGACAATTCTGCATTCATAGCAGGACATCCTTAGTCCTGCAGAATTAACCTGGACAAATCCTGGTGGACACCAAAAATGAAGCATAGACAGATGTAGTGCTCTAAACTTGAGGTTGTGATAGGAGGTACTATGTCTAGCAGGACTTATGTGAACCATGTGTGCAGCACAGGACACAGGCTAATGCCAATTCTGAGTAACTCACTCCTTTTCCAGGAATGAGTGCAGAGGAAAATAAACGGACTTGTCAGACTTTGCCATCTATTATGGAAAAACAAGAGTAGTATTGTTACCGAAACACGAGGGATTCAGTCTAGGGCCTGCTGCTTGCTTCACAGAAAGCCAGTGACTGAGGTAATGAGTACTGGCAAGGAAGAAGGCTTTAATCGGGCGCTGCAGCCGAGAAGGTGGGAGCTCAGCCTCAAATCCATCTCCAAGACCAAGTAAAACTGCAGGCTTATATAGCAGGGAAGATGTGTAAGAAATGTATAAGAAAACAGCAACTGGGGAGGGGCAAGGAAGCCATTATGAGGAATGAGAGGCCTGGCATCTCATCGTCTGGATGTAGTGATCTGGTGAGTTTCAGTTCTTTGATATTTTTTGAGAAGCCTGAAGCTGGTTGCCTGAGGAAGGAACTCAGATAAAACAAATATAAGTTTCGAGCTTTAAGACCAGAGGGTCAATTTCTATGTTTATCCAGAAGAACTTATCTATGGGACTACTGAGTTGGTTTCAGTATTATCTTTAAGATTTAGAAAAATGACTATATCTAGAATATATTTACTAGGAGAAGAAGTAAAAGAAGAAGAGGAAGTGGGGGTAAAGGAGGACAAGGAAAGAATGAGAAGGGGAGAACAGGAAGAGGGGGAAGGGAGAAGGGAGAAGGAGGGGGAGGGGAGGGGAAGGAAGAAGGAGAAAGGTTCAGAAATTACCTGCTGTGAATTCCACAAGCTATAAAAAGAAACATCAAGAGAAACATAAGAACATCTGAGATATAACAGTGATTGTTTGACTTGCCAGTTAAAAATAGAAGGCACCACAGGGGAGAAAAAAAAAGGAAAGTTAAAAATAATAAAAGAACTATTGCACATAGCGAAATAACAGAACTGATTATGAAAACATTTAGTGGCTTACCAATTCACTCAGGGTAAATGTCAAGATATGTGCTATGCCTTTTTTTTCAGAGTATTTGTACTATTTTATTTTATTTATTTTATTTTTTTATTATACTTAAGTTCTAGGGTACATGCGCACAACATGCAAGTTTGACACATAGGTATACATGTGCCATATTGGTTTGCTGTACCCATCAACTCATCATTTACATTAGTTATTTCTCCTAATGCTCTCCCTCCCCTAGCCCTCCACCCTCTAACAGGCCCCAGTGTGTGATGTTCCTCTCCCTGTGTCCATGTGTTTTCATTGTTCAGTTCCCACCTATGAGTGAGAACATGCAGTGTTTGGTTTTCTGTCTTTGTGATAGTTTGCTGAGAATGATGGTTTCCAGCTTCATCCATGTCCCTGCAAAGGACATGAGCTCATCCTTTTTTATGGCTGCATAGTATTCCATGCTGTATATGTGCCACATTTTCTTTATCCAGTCTATCATTGATGGACATTTGGGTTAGTTCCAAGTCTTTGCTATTGTGAATAGTGCTGCAATAAATATACGTGTATATGCACTATGTCTTTAATGAAGATTTTCTCCCTTATTACCTCTCTGATCTCATAATCTATTTTTTACAGTTTGCTAAGTAGCTCTTGCCTCAGGGCCTTTGCACATGCCCTTCACTCTGCCTCAACTGCTGTTTTTGCCAAAATATCTGGCTGCTGCTTTCCTTGCACTTTCCAATCTTTACTCAGAAGCTTTTCTTAATGAAGTGCTTCTTTGTCATCTTTTCTAAAAGTAACAGGCATCCTGTACTCACACCAGCACTTTAAATCCCCTTCTTATATTTTTCTTTCAGTGGTTGCTAATATACATTACCTTTTATATATATTTATATTTTTTATTGTCTGACTCACCTACTGGGCCACAATCTCGATGACAGTGATCTTTATCTTCAGTCTCTGGAGGAATACCTGGCACACATAGGTCCTCATTAAATAATTATTAATGAATAAGTCAATGATAATATAAGGTACCTCAACATAAATACCAAGAACTAGGGTCAATTAATTCACTCAGTGTAGGGTTTCTAAATTCAAATTTTCCCTTTAACCAACATTCCTTTTTGTTGAAACACATCTTATTTTTTAAAGGATTACTGAGCTATGTTTCTTATCCAAGATAGTGCCATCCAGCTGGCATCCAGCTGCTCTTGTTAGAAGTGGTTTGGTAGTAATTCTAAGCAACAAAATTCCTGGGCTCTGATTACCTTCCCCTCACTTTTAAAACAGTTCCAGAATCATTGAGAGATCTGTGCACACTCAAAAAGCTTTGAGGATCCAAATTCAAACCAGGTTCTATGTCTACCATTAAAAGCCCTAAGAATATGTCCTAATTTTCTAATGACATTTTATATTTTAAGACATCAAAAGCTTGGATTTATGGGCCGTATACTAACAATGTTTAGTAGCCAACTATAAAGCAGTTAACTACATTTGGAATGCATCTTTTCTTCTCTTTTTTATTTTCCTCCCTCAAAACAACTCTGTCAGCTTCCTTTATAAAACAGTGTCATAATGCATAAAAATCTAGTGTTTGGCCTAGAGTTGCATGTCCACATTCCAGGGGAAAGAAAGTCAAAGAAAAAGACTGCCTATCAGCCACGATTACTATTTATAAAAACCATTGTTCTCTTTCAGATAACAGAAATGTATAAGTAGGTAAAAAATTTCTTAAACCAAAGTGTTTACAAAATAATAAAAATAGGTATTATAGTTCAAAAATTTCATTTAAATATCCAGTTATCTAATTATATGAATTTTTCACAAGTCACTTTAAGAGCATCATTTGAGTAACTAGCCTCCACTGTTTTATTCCTTAGAATAAGGTTAATTGCTTCTCAGAGAACATAATCTTATAATAATAAATTGCAACTCACCATAGTGTTTCTTCTTTCTCGCTCACCCTCTCACACACACAGACTCACAAATGCAAGAATGAGACACTAGAATAAGTTCTATAGTGTTTTCTTAGTGTAAGCCTCAAAACTTACTGTTAAGCAAACATAAAACTATGGTATGTGTCCTTCTGTATTATATCTCCTAGGAATTATCTAGTGCAAAATTGTTGCTCCTGGTATCTAAGTATCAATTAGAACAGAATCATTTTCAAGTACCATAAAGACCTCACATAACATAGCTTAAACAATACAGAGAATGTGTTGCCTCAGGAAACAAGACAACACTAGAGGTAGCAGGCAGCTTTGTGTATGGATCAACTTGGTCTCCAGCAGCTGAGTTTCTCTGCTATTTTCTTGTCTGATGCACTTTGTTCCAACGGCGTCTTTTCAGGATGCTTTCCCTAGTGGTGATAAAAGGCTGCAGGGGTTTCAAGCCTTATCCCCTATATTAGTCCATTTTTACACTGCTATAAAAGTACTCCCTGAGGCTGAGTAATTTATAAACAAAAAGGTTTAATTAACTCACAGTTCTGCACGGCTGGGGAGGCCTCAGGGAAGTTACAGTCATCATGGAAGGTGAAGGCGAAGGGGAAGCAAGGCATGTCTTCACAAGGCAGCAGGGGAGAGAGAGAGAAAGACAGAGCGAGGGGGGAGCTGACAAACACTTTTAAACCATCAGATCTCATGACAACTCACTCACTATCATGAGAACAACATGGGGAAACTGCCCCCATGATCCAATCACCTCCCACCAGGTCTCTACCTCCACATGTGGGGATTTTAACTTGAGATGGGATTTGGTTGAGGACACAGAGCCAAACCATACCACCCTTGCACACCGCAGAGTTTAGAACAGAAAGTTTCCTTTCCCTTAACCATCAAAGAAAAATCCTCTGTCTTACTCTGATTGGACCATCTGGTTCACATGCCCATTCTGGAATCAGTTATTGATCAACAGATCAGGCTATTAGGGGCCCAAATGACTGTTACTAAAAGGGAAGGGGTGCAAGAAATGCGAGTTTCTTAATGACTGTCAGTCATAAATAAAGCAGATGGAGGGTAACTCAAAGAAATATAGCACAAGTCCCTATCTCCAAAAGACCTAAAATCTCGTGTGGTTTCAACTGCAAATGAAAATACAAAAATTAGAGCAGGTAAAATTGTAAACATTTGGGCATTGTCATAATGTAATGAGAGTTCAAAGGAGAGAGAGTTCAGGGTGGACTTAGGTCATAGTATGCTTTTCATTTATTTATTTGTTTGTTTTGAGACAGGGTCTCACTCACTTGCGCAGCCATGGAGTGCGGTGGCACAGCCATGGCTCACTGCAGCCTTGAACTCCTCACCTCAAGAGATCATCTTGCCTCAGCCTCCTGAGTAGCCAGGACCACGGGCACATCCCACCCCACCTGGTTAATTGTAAAATAAGTTTTTGTGGAGAAGGAATTGCCTATGTTGCCCAAGCAGGTCTCAAATTCCTGGCTTCAAGTGATTATCCTGCCTCTGCCTTCTAAAGCACTGGAATCACTGGCATGGTCACACTTTTTAAGAAATAAACATGATTCATATGAAAGTAGGGAGTTTTCAGCAGATGGAAGCACCATTCTTGACAACAACATAGAGATGGGAATTAGGAAAGGAATGGATGAGAAAAGGTGAAGGCGAGAACCACTAGGATAGCAGATCAAGGTGGATGAGCAACAGGGAGGAGCCTGGGCAGATTAAACAGGTCCAGATAATTGAGCATATTGAAAGACCCGCAAAGATGTATACTTGGTGTAAGAAATAGTATCATTGCCAAATTGTCAATCAAATAATGCTATCTCTGTTGCTCTTACTTTATGGAAGAATAATAATTTGGGAATATGCATATTTTGAACAATTGATTTTTTAAACAGTGTGTGTGTGAGTGTGTGTGTGTGTATATATATATGTATATACACACACTTGTATTCATTCCAAAACACTGAGAAAGCAGTATATTAAATTCATTTTACACAACTTAAGAGCGTTTATTGATCCAGATAGAAAATTTCTAAGCTACATGCTGAGCATGATGACTAAGTATCTAAGCCAAATTGTGAATTACTTTTTCCATGAAAATCAAATACATATATTTATATGCTGTGTTTTCTTCTAAAATGCTTATAAAACAGCTGCTATAATCATAGAACATAGAGTCTTTGCCACGACACATTATAATAAAAGAGTTGTATTTCAATTTAGCAAGCTACCTAAAAAACAGTATTTTCCAAGAGTGACCAAGGCCCATTCCAGACCCTCTATCATATATGCTGAAATTGGGTTATAAAAATGGCTTACACAGACTTCAAGAAAATGTTTGTTTTTTCAAAACAAAACCTGTCTAGAGTATTGGAGTTCATAGAATCAACAGTTTAAAACAGAACTTATAAAATATATAGTTCTACACCCTTATTAAGATTAAAAAATTGAGTTGCAGAACAGATGTGCTTGTTAAAAATAGATCAGTTAAATACTCAGAACTTATTCTCAAGTTTTAAACTCAGAAACTCTTTGCTGTTTCCATGCTACCATTCTGTGCATTGGATAACAAATGTTGATTTAAGTGAATTTCAGTGACATAATAATTCACACCATCTACTCCAACTTTTATTGACAAGAAAGTTGTTTTTGACTTAAACATTTTGTACATAATTCCATAAAGCTACAGAACATATGAATTGTGTCTAGAAGTTAAAACACTTAGCAAGAGGGCTGAAATTCAGCATCCAAGACTGGAATAGCTCATTAGGAGACCACACACCGTGAGGATCATTGATGTTTCTTCCTCAAACACCAGGACACAAGCCTGTGGTATTTCTAAAAGTTGCTAGGGAAAATACTACATCCAAATTCAGCTATCCTTGGCACAGGTAGTTCCACAAATAGTGACAGTCATTTATTAACAATAAACAAAGCAGTGAAAAGACAAAATGTCTTTCCACAAGCACCAGATTTTAATCTGAAAAAACACCCCAGAATCAATAGTTAAATTGCTATACAAGAGAAATGACCTATAAAGGCTTTAATTTCTTTTTATTTTTGTATTACTTTAGAAATATGCTATGCACATGGGATAAGAACTGCTTTTGACATAGACAGGGAATCAGACACAAAGTCTTTTCAGAAACACTCTCTACTAGAATACAGATTGGAGAAAAATACATATGCACCCATGCAGAGAGATGAATTTGAGCATAATATAATTCATTTTTATAATGGCTTATTTGTAATTAATTGGTTTATGTTCCAGTTTATTATAACAATCCTGAAAGATAAACTAAGAATATACAATTGTTCATTGCAGAGATGGAAGAATCTGAGTCTTAAAGTGACTAATTCATGACACTATTGCTAGAAAATAAAGAACACAGGAATAGAATACAACTCTTTTAGCTTAAGACTTATTTCCACAATAGTGCATTCCTTCTAACAACAGCCAGTGCTCACTTAGATAATTTTGAAGCTACAGTTAGAGAAAAATATTGGAGTTCTCTGTATGATGTTTTAATTTCACTGGCTACTGCATTTGTGTAATTATACATTTAAGAGAAATTAAAAATTGAAAAACAAATGTAAAAGTAAGAAACAAATTGAATGATATGAGTTAACAAATAATATGTGTAAAATTAATGCTTAAGAACCATTTTCCAAGTGATGGTTTATGTTTTGCCTTCTAAAATCTGTTCTAAGTTCATTCCAACTTATTTTCCATTTTGGTTCACAATTTTTCAGAGAGAACTATTAAAAGAAAACGCTACTATAAAAGACAAGGCCATTTTTTCCTCTCATTAATAATTTCAAATGTTCCTCATGTGAAATTTTTTGTCTGGTCTAAAAAAGAAAAGATAAAAAAATCTTGCCTAGTCAAGAACAGAAAGTGTAAAAAAAACTCTAAATATATTGTACTTCTGTATATATAACCAATTTAACTTGAGGTATTTTAAAATAGGAATTTATTTAATTTTAGTGACCTAAACCACATTATTTAGAGTGTTGTGTAAATATTAAGGCATTTCTGAAATGAGTACATTTAAGTCTGGATTTTTGCTTTATATTGTTTCTAAGACATCAAAGTTTAGGTATGTGGATAGTGGTGGTTAGACATACTTTGTATTTACAGCTAGTCTTAACAGAGTACAAATAGATTAAATAGTTTAAGATACAAAAACATGTCTAGAATCAGTTCAACAGAATCTCCCTATAAACCTATAAATCATAAAAAGTTCTAAATGTTATTACGTATGTGTAAATGTATATAGAATTCTTCCCTAATATTGATTCTAGTTAACTGAATCTTCTTTTTAAAGGTATAAACTATATAACTAGCTTGGAAAGCCATTAAAAACAAAGTATTTAATAGAGATTTTACTTAATATAAATATTAGTGAAATTTTATGTATCAAAAAGAAATATTGGCCAGAACTCTGGCTTAATTCCATTTTCACGTTATATACTTAAATAAAAGAATATCGGCAAAAAGTAATTAGAAGAAACACAATAGTTGTGTTTTAAAATTTTAACACTATTTATTTTCACCTAAATATATGAAGTGCTTTTGTAAGTTGAACTGCTATAGATAACTCATTAACTAGTGACCATTTAAAATTAACTCAGATAAAAATAAAACTCACATTTTCATTTAGAAGGTCTGAAAATCAAATCTGAAAAATCTGGAGTCCAGTGACTCAGCAAATATTTTGGTTGAAAGCACATTTATCTTCAAGACAAAATTACACATAGTAAATTTGGATCTGTTAAAGTAATTCCCCTTTACTTGCAAGTAAGACAAACATTTGTAAGTAAAAAATACGTCTGGCTTAACAAGGTTAAGAAATTAAAATGTCTTATTGCAAAGATTCCATTGAAGGGGAACTGATTGGTTTCCTGATACTACTATTGGTGAGCAAGAATTAAAATGTTTAAGTGGCTTTTCTGTTCTTTAAAACCCTCTAGGTTTCCTTTAGAACAGGAAACATAGGGAATCTGAGAGTATGACAGTATCTTGAAGGTCAATGAGTATAACTTCCTCCATAAAATGGGAAGTCCTACAGTCTACTAGACAATGATCAGTTTTCTTTTGTTATATTTGACAATGGTATAATTTTCTCCCTGAGCTGCTCATTCTGCATATCCCTGTCCTCATTTTTTTCAGAGGTTTGGAGATCTTAGTTACCATTTGTCCAGGTAATCTCTACCTAATTACCCATAATGTTTCCAAAACACAAGGAGCTCAATCTAGGTCCTGTTGCTCGCCGCACAGAAAGACAATGACTGAGATGATGAGCATTGCCAAGGAAGAAGCTTTAATCCTGTGCTGCAGCCGAGAAGATGGGAGCTCAGGTCTCAAATCCATCTCCCTGATTCACTAAAACTAGGAGTTTACATAGCAGGGAAGAAATGTAACAATGTATAAGGAAACAGGAAATAGGAAGGGGCAAGGAAGCCATCATGATGAAAGAGGGGTCCAGCATCTCATTGTCTGGATGTGGTGATCTGTTGAGTTTCAGTTCTTTGAAACCTTTTTGAGGGGACTGAAAGCCATTTCCTGAGGAAGGAACTCAGATAAAAGAAGTATAAGGTTCAAGCTTTGAGATAAGGAGGGTCAATTTCTATGTTTATCTAAAAAACTGTCCATGAGACTATGAGTTGGATTTAATAACAGCACAGAAAACTGAATTCAGTATTTCCAATGTGTTCGCATTGTGTGCAGGACAGTATTACCACCCTAAATATAATTTCGTTTTTTTGTGGCATAGAATCATAATTGTGTTTTTAAAATAGATATGCTTTTGGCATCACAATGAGCTTATCTTTTATTAACCTCCCCCATCCTATACCTGCCTAGTTAAATTTAAATAAAAATACAGGGTTATCAACTTATTCTAATTAAAGTTCTTCTTGTTTGTATATCAAATACAAATTTTATAACTATGCTGTCTTTTTCTCATCCAAGTTATAACAGTCAAGACCGAAAAGGGTACAAACCTGAAGGTTCTGCTCCAGATTGACATTTATCCCACATTCAGTGTGTATCTTTGATCATTCTTTAATTCATTCCATAAATATTTATTTTGGATGTACTCTCTGTGAAAAACTTTCATAGTTGTTTTTTGCATCAATGTGAAAAACAGACTAATAACTTGAGAAGTTTATGGTCTAGCAACGTTAGCACATAAATGCCTCCTCAACTTCAACGTACATTATTTCTAGAGAATGCACTGTATTTGTCAATACAATAGATACAATCTCTTGTATTCCAGATTGCTAATGCCGCTAAAGGAGGAGGAGGCTGGTTCAATACGATACATTCCCACTCATGGTCAGGTCATGCTCATTTCCGTCTTCACTTTCTCAAGTTCTCCGCTTGATAACATTTTCTAATATTTTTAAATAAAAAGCAATATAAATGTTATGTTGACATGTTCTTGGTTTGAGTATTGGGGCATGTCTTGTAACCTCCCACATATATCGACCACCATCATTCTTTCTTTGTGAGACTGCTAACTGAAAGTTACTAATTGTGCAGCTGGATGCTGCCGTATCAGCGTAACTCAGCCTGCGACTTCCGTTGAGAACTCCAATGCGTGCTAGTTGGTTCATGCATTCTCTACAGTTGTGGTTTCAGAAGTTCTCTTTTCACTTTTAACCTCACATACCCAACACCTTTGTCTCTCCCAGCTCTTTCATGGGGATAGTGGAAGCCATAAACTATTAAGTTTTTTTTATTTATTTTATTTTATTATTATTATTTTTTTTTTGAGATGGAGTTTTGCTCTTGTTGTCTAGATTGGAGTGCAATGGTGCGATCTTGGCTCACTGTAACCTCCACCTCCCGGGTTCAAGCTATTCTTCTGCCTCAGCCTCCCAAGTAGCTGGGATTACAGGCAGCCGCCACCACACCTGGCTAATTTTGTATTTTTAGTAGAGACAGAGTTTCTCCATGTTGGTCAGGCTCATCTCGAACTGCCGACCTCAGGTGATCCACCTGCCTCAGCCTCCCAAAGTGCTGGGATTACAGGCATGAGCCACGGGGCCTGGCCAAACTAAGAAATATTTATAACCAACTCTATAAACCTTCTTAAATCCACGCTCATTGCATCTTCCGTTCTCTCCTGTTACAATGGAAGAGGGGTGCTCTCCTCTATTTTAGGCCCATTTCCTAAACCAGTTCCTGATTCTTTCTTTCCTCCCTGGTGACATTGTACTGCTGTACTCTCTTGTCAGTCCTATATTTTCCATCTTTCTCTGCACATGAATTCTTTTCTTAAACAAGCTCGAGTTGCTCTGTGTAAATTTTTCTTTTGTGAAATAGCTTCTATCCTACCTGTCCCCTCATTCTCACACCGAACTGTCTTTTACTCTCTCTTCTGCAATCCTAGGCAGTCTGACTTCCGTCCACGACTTCACAAAGCTGCTGTACTATGGCCCTTAGTGCCCTCCTTGACATTAAAAACAGTAAACAAGTCCCATTTTCTTTTTTACTAATAACTCTAATTTCTTCATCTAACAATCTCACCTTTCTTAAACATACTTTACTTTGTCATCCAAGCCACAGTGCAGTTTTGGTTTTTCTCCTAATAATGTGTCCCCTTTTCCCAGCCTGCTTGGTGGGGGCCCCTTCCTGAACCAAACTGTCGTTAATGGTGCCCTTAAGCTTCACTTCCCACTCTGCGTTCTCTGTGCACCATCTTTAAGATCTATATTTCTTGACAGAACATTTACGTCATGAGTTCATCTGTCTCCCCAACACCTTTAGGTGTCATAGCTGACTGCTGGTGGATATCTCCATCTGGACGTCACATGGGAACTTCAAACTCAATATATTCAACACTGAACTCATTAGCTCAACTCTGCTGCTGCCTCTGTCTGTCACATGCCCCACACAATTGCTCTCCCTCTTGTATTCTATTTCAGTGAAAATAGAGTCCATTTGAAAAATTGGAACATTGGTGACTCCTGTGCGATTCCCCAAACAAGCATTACGTTGTCAGTTTTACCTTATAAATACTTTTTGAATTATATTTATCAATTCCAGATCATCAAATCTTACCTATATTTTGCAACAATCTTTTAATTAGCCCTTGTGCTTCCAATCTTTGTCTTTTTTCTTTCTCTACAATGACGCCAAGGGTTTCATAAAATGTGAACCGGATTTTACCAATTTTCTGCCTAAGTTTTCCATGAGTTTCCATTATGAGTGGGATAACATTCAAATTTCTTGATGTGACTTTATAAAGCCAAAAATGAAATAAGAAATATTAGAATTAGTTTTGACAAGGAGTTAATGAACTTAGGGGATTCCAAACTTTAAAGAACATTTACCTTTACTTGTCCTCTGACCCCATTATCAAAACATTCCCACAAAATAATCTTGTATTAGTTAATTATACTCTGGAAGGAATTTACAGCTTCTCAAAGATGATTGCTTTTTACGCCATCTCTACTCTCACTGGCACGAGGCTGTTTTCTTTTACATGAAGTCTCCCATTGTTCACATAATCATATTACTTTCTCGCAGCTTGGCTTTAGAAATAGAACATAGCTAAACTTTGGACCCTTAAGTGATTGCCTGGAGGCATTAGGTCTATAATTTCAATACTAAAAAGCTCTTCAAATCATAAATATCCTAATAGATTTGTGACAAATTATGGCAGCAAAACCTATTCTGATCTGACGTTAAGTTACACCTGCTTTTTATTTATCACACCTAGTTTGAATATTCATACATTTCACTGTATCAATATTAATGTATTTGAATGTGGGGTGCTGATCCAGACATAATACATGATATATGCACACCATTACCTTCCTAAAATATGAAAACCTCCAAAATCTAAAAGGTTTTGGCCTCAAGGCCCTTGGATTAGGAATTCTGAGTTTATACTAAATTTAGTATGGCAAATCAAAGCCTATCAAACTTCAGATTTGTGGGATTTATTTATCCAAGAAGAAAATAGGTCTCTCTCTTTTTTTAATTAGACAGAGTCTTGCTCTGTCACCCAGGGTGGAGCGCAGTGGTGTGATCTAAGCTCACTGCAACTTCCACCTCGCGGGTTCAAGTGATTCTCCTGCCTCTGCTTCCCCAGTAGCGCCTCCATGCCCAGCTAATTTTTGTATTTTTAGTTGAGACAGGGTTTCACCATGTTGGCCAGGATGGTCTTGAACTCCTGACCTCAGGTGATCTGCCCACCTTAGCCTCCCAAAGTTCAGGGATTACAGGCGTGAGTCAGCGTGTCTGGACAGAAAGTAGATCTCTTGATTTCCTATGAGATTCACTGAAAGAATGTGTTTAAAAGGGATCTTACATTTAGAGAATAAGTTGATGCACACATTTTCAGAATTTCTATTTTATCCATTTGGGCTGAGTTTGGTGCCTTACAGGATCTAACTCTCTCCCACTTCGTCTTAGCTTGGCAATGGTGACTCAGACAACTTCATGCCATGTTCACTGGCTTAGTCAACAAAAACCTTAGAAATCCTAATACAGTTTAAGACTGGCACTGGATTATCCAGGTGATTCTGAACATTGATCTCTCCAAGTTTCTGAATTACCAAAGAGCATTTATTTGCAGCCTGGAAATCTCAGGCTCGGCGGGGGAAATGGATACAGGTAGGGCAGACGCCGTGTTCTTGCCGTGCAGCTGGAATAACAAAGCCTCTGAAAAGTTCACCACCTCTCCACGTGTGTGGTATTTTATGCATCAACACAGTCGCCTTCACCTGTGCTGCATTTCACTCATTACAGATAAAGTTGTATATTGGCCCAACTTTACCCAGCACACACTTATTCTGCGCTGATGTTTACACAGCAGTTAGAAATTCCTGGGATAATACCTTCTATCTCACGCTGCCATATTACCACCTTCAACCCCATTTTACATTGGCTCTCATTCAGGGGCCTTTGAAACACAGTCATCAGGATGCTCAGGGAGATTAACGGTGTGGTCTGGTTTAGATAAAATAATCCTTAGGAACCTATGACCATCAAGTGAATCACGAATATTGATAAAAACCCACGTACACGTTCCTCACAAAATGTTGTTTCAGTTAAGTTTTCTTCCTTCCGTGTCCGGAATTGGTGGGTTCTTGGTCTCGCTGACTTCAAGAATGAAGCCTCGGACCCTTGCAGTGAGTGTTACAGTTCCTAAAGACGGTGTGTCCAGAGTTTTTTCCTCCAGATGTTCAAATGTGCCTGGAGTTTCTTCCTTCTGGTGGGTTCGTGGTCTCGCTGACTTCAGGAGTAAAGCTGCAGACCTTCGCCGTGAGTGTTACAGCTCATAAAGGCCGTGTGTCTGGAATTGTTCATTCCTTCTGGTGGGTTCATGGTCTTGCTGGCTTCAGGAGTGTAGAGGCAGACCTTCTCAATGAGCGTTACAGGTCTTAAAGGTGGCGCGTCTGGAGTTGTCCATCCCTCCCGGTGGGTTCACGGTCTCGCTGGCCTCAGGAATGAAGCTGCAGACCTTCATGGTGAGCGTTATAGCTGCGCAGACCCAAACAATAAGCACCAACAACATTTAGTGCCAAGAGCAAAAGAACAAAGCTTCCACACCATGGAAGGGAACCAGGGAGGGCTACTGCTGCTGCTGCTGGCTCGGGTGGCCTGCTTTTATTCCCTTATCTGACCCCACTCACATCCTGCTGATTGGTCCATTTTAGAGAGAGCTGATTGGCCCATTTTACAGAGAGCTGATTGGCCCATTTTACAGAGACCTGATTGGTCCGTTTTGACAGGGTGCTAATTGGTGCGTTTATAAACCTTGAGCTAGACACAAGAGTACTGATTGGTGCATTTACAATCCTTTAGCTAGACACAAAAGTTCAAGTCCCCACTAGATTAGCTAGACACAGAGCACTGATTGGTGCTTTCACAAACCTGGAGCTAGACACAGAGTGCTCATTGGTGCATTTACAAACCTCTAGCTAGACACAGAGTACTGATTGGTGCATTTACAATCCTTTAGCTAGACACAAAAGTTCTCCAAGTCCCCACTAGATTAGCTAGACACAGAGCACTGATTGGTGCTCTTACAAACCTGGAGTTAGACACAGAGTGCCTATTGGTGCACTTACAAACCTTGAGCTAGACACAAAGTGCAGATTGGTGCATTTACAAACCTCTAGCTAGACACAGAGTGCTGATTGTTTCTTTTTCAATCCTTTACCTAGACAGAAAAGTTCTCCAAGTCCCCACCCAACCCAGAAGCCCAGCTGGCTTCACCTCTCAATGGCACTTGCTGTGGGACTTTGTGGTATCTAGCCTGGGCACTCTGGCAGCCCAGAGGGAGCTCGCCCCCTGATCAAGCCCAGCAGGCAATGGCTGGCCACGACGAGCGTGGGGCCTGCTGAGCCCTTGCCCACCCGCAACCTGCACAGGCCCGGGAGCGCCTCCCACCCACGCCTCTCCCTCCACACCTCCCTGTGAGCAGAGGGAGCTGGCTTGGCTCCAGCCTCGGCCAGCCCCAGAGAGGGGCCCCCACAGTGCAGTGGCAGGCTGAAGGGCTCCTCAAGCATGGCCGGAGTGGACACCGAGGCCGAGGAGGTGCGGAGAGTAAGCGAGGGCTGCTAGCACGTTGTCACCTCCCTCTCTCTCTCTCTTCCCCTCCCTCCCTCTCCCTCCCTCCCTCCCTCCCTCCCTTCCTTCCTTCCTTCTTTCCTTCCTTCCTTCCTTTTCTTTCTTCTTCAGGTGGAACTCGAACTCCAGGGCTCAAGAGAGCCTCCTACCTCAGCCTCCCAAATAGCCAGAGGCTACAGGATTGCACCACCACAACGGTATTCCTGAAAAGCTTCTAAAATCTTCCAATAAAAGTGGTTTTAGGCTTTCATGTCTTAGGAGGTCTTCTTTAAATATGAAAAAAAAGATAAAAATTAGAAGTTAAAACATGCATAGTTATGTTTAATGTTTATGCTATAAAAGAGAAATTCTTATACTACATATATTCAGTGAATTTCCTCTAAACATAAACTAATATTCCCCTGAAAACAAATAAAGAAATTGAATGATACAACTGTCTTATTCCTTAAACTACAAAAATAAAATGCAAAGCCTTGGTAAAAAACCAACCAAACAAACAAAAACAATCACACACCAAAAAGTTGGACTTTCACATATGGAGTCTGAAGTTGGCTTTTATGACACCCAAGGGCTTATTCATTGTAATTATTTGTAATATTTGTGATATATATTATATATATAATTATTTGTGAAACATAGCAATGAATGTTGTCATTATTGAAGTAATATTAATTGCTGTTTTAGGTTTTATTTTGCATTTGTTTGGTTTATAAAAGCATTCAAATCCTAAAGAAAACTATACTGCTTAAGTAATTGCCAGCTTTATGCTTCATGAAATCGTTTTTATGGCATTAATAAATATGAAATAAATATCTAAAACTTAAAATCTTCAAATGGCATAGAATTTCTAATTAGTGAAATGATTTCTGTTGTTACTGAATGTCTTCGTTGGAACTATTCTTTTTCTGTTACCCAAAATTTTTCCCTTAAAAGTTTTAAGAGACCTAAACTTAAATAAACTTTAAAATAAAACCTAGATAGTTTTGCCTTTAAGCCGGGCATGGTGGTGCACTCCTGTAGTCTCAGCTACTTGAGAAGCCGAGGTCAGAGGATCACTTGAGCCCAAGAGTTTGAGACCAGTCTTGTTGATACAGAAAGATCTTCCTTGCCTCTTACAAAAAAAAAAATCCAAATTAGAAGGACTTATACAACTTTCTTGTAGAATTCACTTTACGTGAACATGCAGTAGACATTCAGTACACTTGTGGACTACTCAGAGACAATGTTGAATCAGTTGTGTTGAGATTCATTTATTTTCAGATTTGGAACCAGTCCTTAGCCCACACTAGAATATTTAAAATAATTTAAAAATAAATAAGTAATTGTGAAAATAAATATTAAACTGTCTTCTCAGCTTGAAACAGATATAAAATGCAAAATTAATCATATAAAGCAATCCTATAAATATTGCTAGCTTGGGCAATCATACAAATTAAGATCAGTTATGCATTCATGATAGCTCACTGATATAATAAAAATGATGTAGGGCATGTGGTTGGGTGTCGTTGAAATCAGATTTCACTTGTCAGTGATACTGATTTGAAAAAAACATAAATTGAAGAAACCCTAATCAATGGGACTAAATAATACAATCAAATTAACATAAAATCTTCATAGAATGTTTTCATTATCAGTGAACATAGTACTCCAGGCTTTCAGGAGCCATATTATAGAGATGGTAGAATGTTTGGAAAAATATTTTAAAGATATTCAAATCACTTAATTATAATTTAAGTAAATTTTGGTTCACCAAGTAAGAAAAACTCACATTTGTATTTCTTCCCCTTAGCCACACAGAGCTGGGTAGAAGACGGCTTCTCTTCAAAGTATCGTTCCTTCATCTAGCATAGTTGCTATGGCCATAATAAGTCAAAGACATAGGTTGTGGTCATCCTAAAAAATGAAGCCTATATTTTGATTACTGTAAACAGCATTGGAAAAAAAAGTCTGTGTAAGGCTTGAAAGAATATACTCTTTATTGTTTATGCATGAGGCGTCCTAGGAGAAGCTACATATGTAGCTGCTTACATATGTATACTTTATTACAAATGAAGTGGAGTGGAAAAAAACAATAACAGAGAAGACTGTTGTAGAAAAATCCTCAGTTATGAGGCTCAGATGTAAATGTAAAACCTAGGGGCTTAGATCTTTAAAGCTTCTGGCTTTAAGAATGCTAGTTTATGATATGTAGTTTTAGGAGGAGCCCTTGAGAGAAACTATATTTACTGCAAAGATTTGCAAAGAAAAAAAAAAAATACATGTGAAGTAAAAGTACTATCCATTAAACACTGAAAGCCAATTTCAATGAGAAATAATTTTTAAAGTTAAGTTATGGGGCCTCCACAGAGAAATAAAGCATAAGAAGGAAGTGTTCTTGTTAGATTTCCCAGGGTTGCTTTTCTGGGTGACAATGGCCTCATCTGTAAAATGTAAATAGCCGTGAAGATATTTAACTGAATAGAGATTTTCCAAGCAGATATCTTGAGGTCCCTTTCAATGGGAAAGTATGTAAAATAACAGGGTTGCAGAAGCTAGAGTGAAAGGAGAGTTTGGTAAGAAGCGGATGACTGAGTGTTATTTCTGATTAAAAAAGAAAAAGGCAATTAAGATTAGAAAGAAATTAAGAAGGGAGCATCTTCAATTAGCTACATGAAAGGAGAGTTTATGTCTATCAGCCTATCAGAAGGGCTTGCATCCGAGATACAAATGAGGTTTATCAAAATCAATGCTACTGAGGACCCCATCATGGGTGACTATTAAAGTGAATCACAAACTCAGAATGGAACCCAAAAAAATTTCAATAATGTACTTCTGACCCATTAAAGTAAATTCAATTACAGTTTTTAATGTTGTTATTACTGAAAAGAGTTAAGTGCACACGTATGTCAGTTCATATGATACAAAATAGCAATAATCCAAGTGCTCAGCGGGGGCGCTGCCCGGTGGCTCTGGCCCCGCCGGGCCGTTGGCCCAGCCCGCCGGCCCCTGAGCTCCGGTAGCCCGCCGCTGGAGAAGCTGTTCGCCCGGGGCGGGCCCTTGCGGACCTTCCTCGAGCGCCAGGCGGGGTCTGAAGCCCATTTGAAGGTCAGGAGGCCCGAGTTGCTGGCGGTGATCAAACTGCTGAACGAGAAGGAGCAGGAGCTGCGGGAGACTGAGCACTTGCTGCACGATGAGAATGAAGGTTTAAGGAAACTTGCAGAGAATGAAATCACTTTGTGTCAAAAAGAAATAACTCAGCTGAAGCATCAGATTATCTTACTTTTGGTTCCCTCAGAAGAAACAGATGAAAATGATTTGATCCTGGAAGTAACTGCAGGAGTTGGAGGTCAGGAGGCAATGTTGTTTACATCAGAGATATTTGATATGTATCAGCAATATGCTGCATTTAAAAGATGGCATTTTGAAACCCTGGAATATTTTCCAAGTGAAGTAGGTGGCCTTAGACATGCATCTGCCAGCATTGGGGGTTCAGAAGCCTATAGGCACATGAAATTTGAAGGAGGTGTTCACAGAGTACAAAGAGTGCCAAAGACAGAAAAGCAAGGCTGCGTCCATACTAGCACCATGACTGTAGCAATATTACCCCAGCCTACTGAGATTAATCTGGTGATTAATCCGAAAGATTTGAGAATTGACACTAAGCGAGCCAGTGGAGCTGGGGAGCAGCATGTAAATACCACGGACAGTGCTGTCCGGATAGTTCATCTTCCAACAGGTGTTGTTTCTGAATGTCAACAAGAGAGATCTCAGCTGAAAAATAAAGAGCTGGCTATGACAAAGTTACGTGCAAAACTGTACAGCATGCATGTAGAAGAAGAAATAAATAAAAGACAGAATGCTAGAAAAATTCAGATTGGAAGTAAAGGAAGATCAGAGAAAATAAGAACATATAATTTTCCACAGAACCGGGTCACAGATCACAGAATAAACAAGACGCTGCATGATCTTGAAACTTTTATGCAAGGAGATTATCTACTGGATGAACTTGTACAGTCATTGAAGGAATACGCCAATTATGAATCTTTAGTAGAAATTATTTCCCAAAAAGTTTAAGTTGATTTGTTATTTATAGACTTTCGTAGCTTAGAAAAATTCTACAGTACATCCACATAGGGTGAAAGTACCCTTACTCTCTTGAAAAACGTGAGTTAACACAGTTGGAGGTAATATGCATATTCTGAAGTCATAGATAATTTACACAGATCTCTCTCAATGCATTAGCAAAAATCATACAATATACAGATGGTCCTCGATTTACATTGTGGTTAATTCCCAATAAACCCGTCATAAGTTAAAAATGCATATAACGTTAGCAACACAGCAGTCTCCTAATTAATGACAGCTTGACTTAACAATTTTCCAACTTTACCATGGTGTGAAAGAGGTATGATTCCTAAGCCCTAAGGAGCTCCTCAGCTTGAAATGGGGCTGCATCCCTATAAACCCATCATAAAGTCAAAAAATCCTAAAACATAAGTTGGTGACCATCTGTAATCATGATGTGGTGGTAAATCTTGGACGCTACCTTACAATAACTAGACAAAGGAAAATCATCCTTTGTCCTGTTCTGTGTAAATATTTAATGAATGATCAAAACTTCAGTTTAAATATTATGAAAAACTTTAAACATAAAGTAGTAGAAATAAGACAGTAAATACTGTATCCTAATATCCAGTCAGGATACAGAAACCATACCATTAACTTGAACAGGGATAATTTTAATATAAAAAACTGTTAACTGATAATGGTATTAACTTTTAAGAGGGATGAAAGAGAGCTATGATGTCCTAGGACTGAGAGTACCCCAGGAAAGAATACCCTTGAAAGGGTCTCCCCTTCCCCATGGTGAAGTCAGGCCTAATGGAGAGAGTGGCTACAGCCTACTCAGTGATTGGGAAATTCCCTGTCTTGCCCTGGGCCAGAGCTGGTGTACCGCTGGTGGATCAGGTCTTACAAGCAAAGAACCTCACACTCTCAACTGGTAAGCCAGAAGCCTCTTGCTAGGGTGTGAGCAAAACTTGGACAGGAACTCTCAGTAGATGTTTGTGTTTGTCAAGATTCTCCAGACAAACTTCCTTAAAAGGATTGGCTTGTGTTGTTATTATTAAGTCTAACAAGTCCAAAAGCTGGAGTGTGAGGCAGGAGGCTGGAAACCCAGGAAAGCTGATGGTGCAAGGTCCAGTCCAAAGGTATCTGTTGGAGGATTCTCTTGTTCTGGGAAGAGGACGGTCTTTTTTTCTCTTCAGACCTTCACCTGACTGGATCAAGCCCACTAACATCGAGGAGGACAGTCTGCATTACTCAGAGTTCACTGATTGATTTAAATGTCAATCTCATATAAAACACCCTCACAGAAACACCTAGAATAATGTTTGACCTTATAATTGGAAAATCAGAGCAAAAGTTAAATCTCTAAAAAAAAAAAAAAAAAAAGTATGACCCAGTAGCTAGGCACCTGTGGCCCCGCCAAGTTGACACATAAAATTAACTGTCACAGTATCATCTTAGAAGTGAAAGAAGCCCCTTTATCCTGCAGTGCCCCTCTACCACCACCTACTGACAAAGAACATGGTGCTATCTGGCATGGGAGAAATGTTCAGTTTGCTATGGCTTGTATGTGTCCCCTCAAATTCAAGTGTTGCCAATGTGACAGCATCAAGAGGTGGGGTCTTTAAGAGATCACTAGGCCATGAAGGATTCTCTTAGGACTGGGATGAAGGCCCATAATAAAAGAGGTTTCAGGGAGCATCCTGCTAGCTTGCCTTCTGTATGTGAGAACACAGCAAGAAAGCCCTAGTCAACAAGTGCCAGCTCCTTGATCTTAGACTTCCCATCCTCCAGAACTGTGAGAAATACATTTCTGTTCCTTACAAATTACCCAGTCTCCTGTATTCTGTTATAGCAGCACAAAATGAAGATACCATACCTGAACACCTGAACATTCTTCACAAGGTAGTAAATGCACTGCTTTATTCTGGTCTCAGTATTGTGTGCTTAATAAGGAAATGAGAAAGGGTGGATCAGGGCATAGGATGAACAAGTTACTGCTAGACCTCTCACAATGCCACTAATGGATAAGATTGTATTTTCATCATTCTTGTCTCTTCGGAAGCTAACACCATGCTATAATAGGCACTAAATAGATGTCTAAAAACACCTTAAGTATTTGTCTAGAAATCTGGTGCATTGTTCAGAAAGAACCAAAATTCAAAATAATTTCAAAGGGCCTAAAGCACTAGTTAATCAAAATTCATTAGTTTTTAATGGTACTACCACTCTCAAATTTAAAATGTCATCTTACGTTCCTCTTCCTCGCATTGGATTTATTGCTAAAACCTGGTAAACACTTTTAATCCTTTTCAATTCCATTACCACTGCTCTTGTCCAGAATTACTTCGCAGACTAATAGTCACCTGACTTCTCCCCTGCATCAGATTTGCTGTCTAATTCTGGTTACAAATAAGTAACTGCCAAACTAATCTTTCTAAAAAGCAAGACTGATCTCGTCACTCCTTTGCTCAACAATGTAAAAGCTCCCATTGTCTCCCAAATAAAACCAGCTTTCCACTGTGTATACAATACAAAAAAAAAAAAAAAAAAAGTGCTCAGCAACAAGGCACCCAGTCATCCCATATGTATTCACCGGGATCTAGGTGGGTGCTGGTCAGTCATTGACCTGGGTACCAGGGTTCTTGGCCTCAGGGAACCTACAGGCTAGTCAGAGAGACAGATACCTTCTTTGATCAGTCAAGGAAATATATACTTACAAACTCTGATAATTACCTGATGTTCAGAAAGACAACAAAAGAATATCACTTAGCCTAAGCTTCATTAAAGAAGTACCACTTGCACTGAAATATAGACTAAACGATTAGGTGTAAGGTTCATTTCATGATCAAGGACCATCCCATGAGAGAGGAGCAGGAGAGCATGATCTTTGAAGAATCTGAAAGACCAGTGTGCTGAAATACAGAGTGAGGACAGAGTGCTACTAGACCTTAAGAAAATTATAGAGAAATTATACTGAAAATAGTATTAAAAATATAACATAGCCTTAAATTAAAATTGTATATATTTTATTCATAGTTTAAGTTATGCATTTATGTACATGAAGACTGGAAGAACATATAGCAAAACAAAGAGTTGTATGAGTATTGTGAAATTATCAATTCCACCCCCTCTCTTTTAAAAGTATATATCTTAGTGAATGTGCTTTGTTGGCTTTTGTCCTAAAACTGGAAAGACACAGAAACATTGTTCCAGTGTTTAACAAGATTAACATGCACAAGACTGACATACACATTTTTGAAGTGTTTCATATTTTGGATTGATATTATTAGAAAATTACCACTTGCCAGTCATCATAATGCAAACTGATTCCAGCAAAAATCATCAAAAGATGCTGAAAAATCATCAAAAGGTGACTTAGCTGGTGAAAGTTTGAGGACTAACAGGATATTTACATCATCTCAGAGTGTCTCCTCATAATGTGCTTACTAGTAAGAAAGAACTAACTGGTGACTTTGCAATGAGCAGACCTGGCAGGGGTCCACCATCTTCATGAAGTGATCTAAGTTAACATCACGAGTAATGAGATGAATCAATACTTAGTGTCTCTTGATAAGATGCACTGAGAAGAACATAATATCATAGTGAATAATTCTGAGAAAATAAGGTATCGTCTAAATTCTGGGTCATATATTGTGAAGAGATATCAGACAAACCCAAATTGAGAGACATTCTACAAAATACCTGGTCTGTACTCTTCAAAATGACATTGTCGTGAAGCACACAGTAAGGCCGAAGAATCGTTCCAAATTATAGGAGACTATAGAGGAATGATGGCACATGGGAATAAAGGTTCTCGGTAGCCACAGCTGTACTGGCATTGTGGAAGTGCTCCATGAGAGATTGCCTAAGTGTGACTATCATTCTCTGGCCCTCACACAATTCTATGGCAGAGACAATGTATCTTTAAAATATACCATTCTCTCATCCTAGACACAGAAGACAAGATTTGCCAGCCTCTATTGTAGTTGGGTAGTGGGCAAATTCTAGCAAAATTTAGGTGGAATTGATATAGACCAGACTCAGGCCTGGAACTTCAGAGCACTGGGCATGGTGCTCTTGCCCCCTCTTGGGGAAGCTTAGAGGCCACATACTCCAGATGGCATAGCTACAGGTATAGGGTAGTCACTTGGCCCTGTTAAATCAATGTGAGCAAAAACTAACTGGTTATTGCTTTTAGATTTGGGAGGATGGTCTGTTGTAGCAGCAGCTAGCATTGCTTACCCTAACTAAAACATTTGAATATCCTTTATTTAATACTCCTCTGCTTGAAGGAAATATAACAGATAGTAACAGCTGAACTTTTATCCTGACTGATAGTTTCAATTATTCAATAGATATTTTAGTAAAATTGTTAGGTTATTACTGGTAATAGCTAACAATTTTTGTGTCATCTATGTGCCAGGCACTATGGCAAACATTTTACATATATAACGCTTTTTCTATATTTAGAAAAATTCTGTGAAGTAACATTATAATCCTGATGCTCAGAAAGGTTGAATAACTTGGTTACGGCAAGCCAGTTGTGAATTCAGGTCTATCTGGTCCCCACATTCATGCCTTTTGTCATTATACAATGAATATCTTACTTGTCTTCCAATGTATGAATTATGTATAACAAGCTCGTTTGTGTGTATCCCACATTCTACAGCTAGTAATTGCCTCTCACCCTCCCACCATCATTGCCCTTTTAGCAAGAGCTTTGTGTACCTCCCAACTAATTTTGAGAAGAGCTCAGCCTCCAGGAGAGGCTGACTTGAGGAGCTCAGTTTTTCAGGCACAAGCACAGGTGACTTTCCTATTGCTTGTTCTGACTTTGGTGGTTTCTCAGCAACCTGGTCACACATTTACACAACCACCCTCCCCCTTAGTTTTCTGATAACTAATTTCCTCAGAAATAAGATTCTGTGCTCTAATTTTCACAAATTTCAGGTTTCTTTTTTGAATTTAGTAATCCCGCACTCTTGTCCTGTTTGTCATGCCATGGAGTATATCTCTCATTGTGCCTACTGTGCCTGCCTTGGGGGCATGTCACTTCCTCTCCTGAACCCCAGTCTTCTGCAATATGACAAAAATACCTGTCGTACCTGCTGACAAACCTCCAGGATCTGAATCACTCACCTGGACACTGTGGCCAACTGCTGAGCTTGCGGATATCCACTAATTAGATGGTGTATGACATGATTTGGAGCCCCTAATAATGTTTGCCATTAATGTGTTCGTCTCCCCAACTAACACAACTTTATAGGTTCATCCATACATGCCATGTCTTTAATTGCACCCCAGTAATCACTCAATCTGAAGTTCTTCTTAGAATACAATTTTGTGTTTTCAAGTCGAATCCATTTTGCTAATGAATATTTCTCAGAAAAGATGACATTTAACATTTTGAATATTATTTTCCATTATTCTAAATTTAAATTGCAGTTAGTCCTGCCCATCAAAATTTTGAAACAAAAAATAAAAATGAAGTGCCTAGTAACATCAAGTCCTATAGATGTATTGATTGGGACATTAAAACTTAGTTAATGATCAATTTGAATCACTAAAAAAAACCGTATAATAACAAATTCATTTCAGCTTACATATCTACATTACAAAATCTCCATGGGCTAAAATAATAAATAATGCTTTCAAAATGAAAATAGTATTTAAGAGGCCTTACCTAAGTTTGTTTTACCCACTATGTGGGATACACTTGTTGAGGCTTAGTTACACCTCCACCCTCTAAGCTCTCCTTTGCTATCCAACAGTGAAGCTTTGGAGCAAAAAGTTTCTCAACAGTGCTGAGCCAACAGTGGTTCCAGTGGAATACAGCAATGTGAGTTAGGATAAGGATATGAAGACAGAAGAGGTCACCGGTACCTGTCTGTCCATGCCTGACATCCTATGGCAGATACGGGGTTTTGTCTATGACCATCAAGCAGCCTCATGGAATTACCCATTTCATGCTGTAGTCCTAGCAATTTGGAATTTTCTAAAACAGTCTTTGCATGTTTTCCCTTTTCCAGCCTTTGCAAGCTTTTCTCCCATGTATATATTCAACAGAAATGCATACAGATATGCCTCAAAGACAAGTACAAAAATGTTAGTTACAGAGTTATTTATAATAGTTCAAAATAATAATCAAAATCATTAAGTGTATAATGGATAAACGGTGACATACTCATGCAATGAAATATTATAAAACAGTAAAAAGAATGAGCTGCATATCCAACAGTTGTGTACATTCCTATTACTGTGTATTAAACATTTTTAATTCAAAATACATAAAATGGCTTCTTTGATGAAATTTGGCTATTTATTAGCACGTTGTCTTGAGTAAACTATTGTATAATTGGACTAGCAATTTTAAGTATGCTCCCAAAGAGTGGGTCTGTTAAGTTCTGTGTGGGGAGGAATATTTGAAAGTGGCAGGAGGGAGTTTCACAGCGGCCACAGCATAATCACACCAGACAGACAGAAGACAGAGCATGAGAGAGGAGTATGTAGGGCTTACAACGGGTGGAAGAGACGCTGAAGTCAATGCTTATGTAGAAACTCTAGAGAAAAAGACCCCACATACACATGGTGATGTGATTAATGAAAAGGGACCAGACCAGTATAATGCAGAGAGGACAAATAATCTTTCAAAACAGTAGCAATGGATCACTGGATATTCCGATAGGGAGAAAACGAATGTCAACTCTTACTTCATACCGTACACAGATATCAGTTCCAGATGGATTGTAGACCATCTGGACCTATTTTAAAGTTAAAATAATAAAACTTCTAGAAGATAACATAGAATAATAATTGTATGACCTTGAGATAGCAAAATTGTATAAACATCTCACTAACTGTGCAAACACAAAAGATTGAAACATTGATTTTTGTTAAAGCTAGGAACATCTTTTTACCATAAGATACCTTAAGAGGATGGAAAGCAATCCACAGAGTGGGAAAGAAGTTTGTAGTCCATATTTCTAACAAAGAACTCATATGCGCCATCTATAAAGAACTCAGGCATTGACTTCAAAAGGAGATAATCCGTTAGAAGAATGACAACAAGACTTAAATGGGTGCTTCACAAAAGAATATTCTCCCCAGTACTTTGGGAGGCTGAGGCGGGTGGATCACGAAGTCAGGAGTTTGAGACCAGCCTGGCCAATATGGTGAAACCCCATCTCTACTAAAAAAAAAAAAAAAAAAAAAAAACAAAAATTAGCTGGGAGTGGTGGCACGTGTCTGTAGTCCCAGCTACTTGGGAGGCTGACGCAGAAGAGTCCCATGAACCCAGGAGGCAGACCTTGCAGTGAGCCGAGCTTGCACCACTGCACTCCAGCCTTGGTGACAGAGCGAGACTCTGTCTCAGAAAAAATTAAAAAAAAGAATATTATCTAAAGCCAGTAAAAACATGAAAAGCTACACAACAATATCAGTAATCAAGGATATGCAAATTAAATTCAAAATGGAGACATGACCAGCCGCAATCAAAATGCAAGAAGAATCAGCCTTGTAATACTAACAAGTATTGGCAAGTATTTGGACCAATAGGGAGTCATCCATCACTGGTAGTGGCTTAAGTTGATAAAATCAGTGTGACACATGGGAAAACTGTCAGTGTGTACCAAAACTAAACATGTATACCAAAACTAAACATATGTACCAAAACAAACATAAAGGCTTTGATCCAAAGGATTTTCTCCCATGTGTATATGTAACAGAAATGCATACAGATATGCATCAAAGACACGTATAAGAAAGTTAGTTGCAGCATTATTTATAATAGTTCAAAATCATAAGTAAATCAAATATCATTAAATGTGTACTGGATAAACAGTGATATATTCATATAACAAAATATTATACAGCAATAAAATAAATGAATTAGGTTGGTTCCTCACTGTTTTTTCCTTTTATAAATATTCATTAAGAATTCTAGTATATTTTGGTTTCTAGATTTTCCTATCTTGTTTACGCTACCTAAATCTTTGCCACAGTTTTTCTAGTTAATAACAACTCCAAATTTGAAATATATGATGGGAAAACTAGTGTTGGGAATGAAAACAACTAGCATTAAAGATTAATGTAAATAAATATAGTTTATTATTTTGCAGATTTTATTTAAATGTATTTAGGGGGTACACGTGCAGGTTCCTTACATACACATATTGCTTAGCAGTGAAGTCTGGGCTTTTAGTGTGCCCATCACCCAAATTATTAACATTGTACCCAATAGGTAATTTCTCAACCTTTGCCCTCCTCCCTCCCTCCCATCTTTTGTGTGTCCAGTGTCTATTATTCCAGTCTCTATATCCATGTGCATGCATTGTTTACCTCCTGTTTATAAGTGAGAATATGCAGCATTTGACTGTCTGTTTTTGAGTTGTTTCACTGAAGAGAATGGCCTCCAGTTCCATCCATGTTGCTGCATATTTTGAAAAATTTAATAACTCATTTGGATATGCTGGTTAATGCTCACAATCATTGCTTATATAATGAAATCTATAACTCAACAATGTCATTTTAATTAAAATGTACTCTTTGTTCATTGATGACAGTAGTTATCCTGCCAGTGTATCTCACAAGAGACCCATCTATTCATTTGTTTTCCATATATCCACAAATAATTATTTCATGCCTGCACTTTCAGTACTGGGAATACAGTGAAAAACAAAAGAGAGCACCTTGCTCATGGAATTTATAAATTAGCTAAGTGGTCTGACAATAAACAGTAGAACAATGATACTATTTGAGCTGGAACTAAATGATGGTCCTCTGTGTACATGGCTTGGAGGAAGTAGAAAGAATAGTGGACAGTCCAAGGAGGAGAAAAATGGTGAGCACATTGAGGAAAGAAAAAAAGAAACAACTCAGTGTAACTGCAAGGGAGAAAGCTAGGATAGCATGGTGTGAGATGATACTAGGTGGGTGGCGGGGGAATGCCCATACCAGACCTTTCAAGTCATGGTGAAAGTTCGGCCTTTATTTTGAATGCAGTGGAAAATCATTTGAAAGTTATGTTCAAAGAAATGACAATATCTCTTTTTATGCTTTTTATTTTGTATTTTAAAAAATTTTTTATTTTAGGTTTGGGGGTACATACGAAGGTTTGTTACATAGATAAACGTGTCATGGGGGTTTGTTGTACGTATTATTACATCACCCAGGTATTAAGCCTAGTACCCAATAGCTATCTTTTCTGCTCTTCTCCCTCCTCCCACCTTCCCCCCTCAAGTAGACCCGTGTCTGTTGTTTCCTTCTTTGTGTTCATAAGTTCTTATCACTTAGCTCCCACTTTTAAGTGAGAACATGCAGTATTTGGTTTCCTGTTCTTGTGTTAGTTTGCTAAGGATGATAGCCTCCAGCTCCATCCGTTCTCACAAAAGACGTGATCTCGCTCTTTTTTATGGTTCCATAATATTCCATGGTGTATATGTATCACATTTTCTTTATCTAGTCTATCTTTGATGGGCATTTTTTTGATTCCATGTCTTTGCTATTGTGAAAAGTGCTGCAATAAACATTTGAGTGCACATGTCTTTGTGGTAGAATGACTTATATTCCTCTGGGTATATATCCAGAAATGAGATTGCTAGGTTGAACAGTAGTTATACTTTTAGATCTTTGAGGAATCGCCATACTGCTTTCCACAATGGTTGAACTGATTTACACTCCCACAAACAATGTATAAGGGTTCCCTTTTCTCCACAACTTTGCCAGCATCTGTTATTTTTTGATGTTTTAATAATAGCCATTCTGGCTTGTGTGAGATGGTATCTCATTGTGGTTTTGATTTGCATTTCTCTAATGATCAGTAATATTGAATTTTTTATATGCTTAGTGACTACACGTATGTTTTCTTTTGAGAAGTGTCTGTTCATGCCCTTTGCCCACTTTTTAATGGGGTTATTTGTTTTTTCTTGTAAATTTGTTTAAGTTCCTTATAGATGCTGGATATTAGACTTTTATCAGATGCATAGTTGCAATAATTTTCTCCAATTCTGTACGTTGTCTGCCCACTCTGTTGATAGTTTCTTTTGCTGTGCAGAGGCTGTTAAGTTTAATTGTCAATTTTTGCTTTTGGTGTGATTGCCTTTGTTACCTTTGTCATGAAATCTTTGCCCATTCCTAAGTCCAGGATGGTATTGCCTTCCAGGGTTTTTATAGTTTTTGGTTTTATATTTAAGTCTTTAATCCATCTTAAGTTAATTTTTGTATACGGTGTAAGGAAGGGGTCTAGCTTCAGTCTTCTTCATATGGTTAGCCAGTTATCCCAGCACCATGTATTTATTAGGGAGTCTTTTCCCTACTGCTCGTTTTTGTCAGCTTTTTTAAAGATCACATGGTAATAGATGTGTGGCCTTATTTCTGGCCTCTCTACTCTGTTCCACTGGACTATGTGCCTGTTTTTGTAGCAGTATCATGCTGTGTTGGTCACTGTAGCCTTGTAGTATAGTTTGAAGTTGGGAAATGTGACTTCTTATGCTGTGTTCTTTTTGTTTAGAATTGCCTTGGCTACTTGGGCTCTTTTTTCATTTCATATACATTTTAAAATAATTTTTTCTAGTTCTGTGAAGAATGTCATTTATAGTTTGATAGGAATAGCATTAAATCTTCAAATTTATTTGGGCAGTATAGCCATTTTAATAATATTGATTCTTCCTATCCATGAGTATGGGATGTTTTTCTATTCTTTTGTGTCTTCTGTGATTTCTTTATTCTTTTTTCTTTTTCTTTTCTTTTTTTTTTTTTGTGACAGAGTCTTGCTCTGTCGCCAGATAGGAGTGCAGTGGCATGATCTTAGCTCGCTACAACCTCCACCTCCCAGGTTCAAGCGGTTCTCCTGCCTCAGCCTCCCAAGTAGCTGGGAGTACAGGCACATGCCACCATGTCCAGCTAATTTTTTTATTTTTAGTAGAGACTTGGTTTCACCACGTTGGCCAGGATGATCTCAATCTCCTGACCTCGTGATCTGCCCACTTCAACCTCTCAAAGTGCTGGGATTATAGGGGTGAACCACCACGCTTAGCCCTTCTGTGATTTCTTTGAGCAGTGTTTTGTAATCCTCATTGTAGGGGTCTTTCACCTTCCTGGATGCTGTATTTCTAGGTATTTTATTTTTTGTGGCAATTGTGAATGGGATTGCCTTTCTAATTTGGCTCTCAGTTTGCTTGTTGTTGGTGTATAAGAATGCTAGTCATTTTTGTACACTGATTTTGTATCCTGCAACTTTGCTGAAGTTGTTTATCAGCTGAAGGAGCTTTTGGGCAAAGACTATGGGGTTTTCTATATGTAGAATTATGTCATCTGCATACAGAGATAGTTTGAGTTCCTCTATTACTATTTGGATTGGCTTTATTTCTTTCTTTTGCCTGACTGCTCTGGGTAGGACTTCCAATACTATGATGAGCAGGAGTGTTGAGAGAAGGCATCCTTGTCTTATGTTGGTTTTCAAGGGGAATTCTTCCAGCTTTTGTCCATTCAGTATAATACTGGCTGTGGGTTTGTCACAGATTGCTGTTATTATTTTGTGGTATGTTCCTTCAATACCTAGTTTATTGAGAGTTTTTAACAAGAAGGGATGTTGAATTTTATCAAAAGCCTTTTTCTGCATCTTTTAAGATAGTCATGTGGTTTTGGTCTTTAGTTCTGTTTATGCAATGAATCACATTTATTGATTTTTGTACATCGAACCAACCTTGCATCCTGGGGAAAAAGCTTACTTGATCATGGTTGATAATCCTTTTGATGTGCTGCTGGATTTGGTTTGCCAGTATTTTGTTGACGATTTTTGCACCAATGTTCATCAAAGATATCGGCCTGAAGTTTTCTTTTTTTGTTGTGCCTCTGCCAGGTTTTGGTATCAAGATGTTGCTGGCCTCATAGTATGAGTTGGGGAGAAGGTCCTCCTCCTTAATTTTTAGGAATAGTTTCAGTAGAAATTGGTACCAGCTCCTCTTTGTACATCTGGTAGAATTAGGCTGTGAATCCATCTGGTCTGACAATATCTTATTTATATTTTACAAAGGCTACTCTGGATGTTGTATGAAAAAGTAGACTGTAGGATGCAACATTTGAAGCAGGAAGATCCACCCGCTACAATTTCTCTGCTCCATGTATTTCTGGCATCTGCTCAATTTAGATTTTTCTCTTCTGCCACCCACTGAAACTGCTTGGTCACAGTCATCTGTGACTTCCAGTTTGCAAAATTCAATGACCATTTATCATCCCAACCCAGCTGGACTCTTGACAACAGCAATCAACTTAGTTAATGACTTTCTCTTTCTAGAGACCAATTCTTCAATTGATTCTAGATTATTTTTTTCTACGTATACACTAATTTCTTAATGATCTCAAAATTTCAGTTTTAAATAACCATCTGCATGGTAGTTACTCTGGATTTACACCTCTATCCTATGTTTCTCTCATTCCTTCAAACTCCAGGCTTAAACTTCCAAGATCCAACCAAATATCTCCTCTTGCATTTTAGCAGGCCTTATAGGCATTCAAAACTTGACATGCACTTGACATCTACTTCCTTCCGAAATTTCCTTCTCCCACAGACTTATGCACTTCAGGTGATGAACTCTCCAGTTCCTCCATCTAAAATCTTAAATAGCTGTTCTTTCTCTCTCATCTACCATCCAATACATCAACAAATCAATTATCTGACAACATCTTTACTTTTGAATTAGTACCACCATAACCAAAGGCACCACCATCTCACTTGAATTATGGGGACAACTTCCCTGAAAAGGCTTCCTACTTCTATCCTTTATCCATATTAGTTTATACTTGGAACAACCAGAAAGGTTTTGTTAAAAGGTAATTTGAATCGCATCACGTCTCTGAAACTCATCTAAGTTGTTTCATCTTACTTAGAGTACGAGTCAAAGTCATTACATTGTCTTTCATGGCCCTCCTCATTCTGGCCTCACCACATTTCTGTAGCCGACTATCCTCTCTCTAACTGATCTTGCTCCAGTCCAATCAGAATTCTTTTTAAACCCAGACAGCAAGTCTTGGTACCTGTTGTTTCTTCTACTTGGTATGTGCTTTCCCCTCATCTTTTAGGTCTTTGCACAAATAATACCTGGTAAGCGAAGGACTTTCTTTGATCACACTATTTAAATTTTCCCACTTCTGACATGTACTATGCGTATTCTCTGCTATAGTTTTCTCTCATGTGCATTGTCACTCAACAGAAGACATATAATTCTGTTTGTAAGTTTGCTGTAATTTATCCTTGTTATTTGCCTCTCTCAACAAGAATGGGAGTTTTAACATGGAGAAGGAATTTTTCTATATTGTAGTCTCTATTGTATTTCCAGCACTTCGAAGAATATCTGGAAAACAGGAAGTTATCAAAACATATTTGTTGAATAAATCATGGGAAAATACAATTTATACAGCAAAGAAACTAATGATAGGATGCTTGGTGACAACCATGGTCATGCGGTCTTATAGAAGACAAAGGGGTTGAAACAGCAGTGGAGCAACTGGTTTCTGATATTAGTAATCTTTGGTTAAGTAAAAGGAAAGGCAGATCTGATGCCAAACGTAGGTATATCTGTTGTTTCGTGTATAAAGATGAGAAACTATTATTCAGATTGCTCCCATTTCTCAGGGAAGCACACGGCAAGGTTATCAACTGAGGGAAATTATTTATAAAACCTTAAAAATCATAGGCATATTGGCTGGGCGCAGTGGCTCATGCCTGGAATCCCAGCACTTAGGGAGGCTGAGGTGGGAAGATCGTGAGTTCAGGAGATCGAGATCATCCTGGCTAACACGGTGAAACCCCGTCTCTTCTAAAAATACAAAGAAAAAAATTAGCAGGGCGTGGTGGTGGGTGCCTGTAGTCCCAGTTACTCGGGAGGCTGAGGCAGGAGAATGGTGTGAACCTGGGAGGCGGAGCTTGCAGTGAGCCGAGATCGTGCCACTGAACTCCAGCCTGGGTGACAGAGCAAGACTCTGTCTCAAAAAAAAAAAAAAAAAAAAAAAAGAATATTCTCTAAAGCCAGTAAAGACATGGAAAGCTACACAACAGTATCAGTAATCAAAGATATGCAAATTAAACTCAAAATGGAGATGTGACCAGCCACAATCAGAATGCAAGAACAGTCAGCCTGGTAATACTAAGTTTTGGCAAGTATTTGGACCAATAGGGAGTCATACATCACTGGTAGGGGCTTAAGTTGACAAAACCAATCTCAAAAAAAAAATCATAGTTATATAATAAGAAATGGGAAAAATTTAAATCAGTGGGGAAAATATCTTTTCAAATGACAAGGTAAAATTATGCATGAAGTAGAGGAAAGTATTTCAGATTGTAGTGAGGCAAATGTATAATGCAGAGACATTGCAGAGAAATTTGCCTTGGGCTACCTACACAGAAGTTACAGAAAAGAAGGAAGGAAATGAAAAATTTCTGGAACGATGTCATTTAGGAATAATATTAATTTACAATTACTTTTAGTGAATGGTACATGTCTTAGTCTTCGTGGGCTTACATGACAGAATACCATTGACTAGGTGTCTAAAACAACAGAATTTTGTTTCTCCCAGTTCTGGGGGCTGGGAAGTCGAAGATCAAGGTTCCGGCTGCTTTGGTTCCCAGTGAGGGCTCTCTTTCTTGCTTGCAGATGCTGTCTTCTTGCTGCATCCTGGCCTTTCCTCTGTGCTTTCACAGAATGACAGCAAGAGAGCTCTATAATGTCCCTTCTTATAAGGGCACTCATCTTATCTCACCAGGCTCCCACTCTCATAATCTCAACTGATAATTACCTCCCAAAGCCCTATCTTCAAATATCATCCCACTGGAAGTTAGTGAGAGGTGACAATGTGCTAGCAGCCCTCACTCACTCTCAGCACCTCCTCAGCCTTGTCGCCCCCTCTGGCCGCGCTTGAGGAGCGCTTCAACCGGCCGCTGCACTGTGGGAGCCCCTTTCTGGGCTGGCCGACGCTGGAGCCCTCTCCTTCTGCTTCTGGGGAGGTGTGGAAGGGAGAGGCGCTGGCGGGAACCAGGGCTGCACATGGCGCTCATGGGCCAGCGTGAGTTCTGGGTGGCTGTGGGCTCAGTAGGCCCCACACTTGGAGTGGCCGGCTGGTGCTGCCAGCACTGGGCAGTGACGGGCTTAGCACCCCAGCCAGCAGCTGCAGAGGGGGTGCCAGGTCCCCAGCACTGTCAGCCTGCCCACGCCATGTTTGAATTCTCACCAGGCCTCAGCCGCCTCCCCACAGGGCAGAGCTCAGGACCTGCAGCCCGCCATGCCTGAGCCCCCCCACAATGGGCTCCCGTGTGGCCCAAGCCTCCCCAATGTGTGCCACCCCCTCCTCCATGGCACCGGGTCCCATCAACCGCCCAAGGGCTGAGGAGTGCAGGCATGTGGCACGGGACTGGCGGACAGCTCCACCCACAGCCCTGGCATGGGATCCACTAGGCAAAGCCAGCTGGGCTCCTGAGTCAGGTGGGTACTTGGAGAACTTTTATGTCTAGCCAGAGGATTGTATATGCACCAATCAGCACTCTGTGTCTATCTAGCTCCGGGTTCATGGATGCACCAATCAGCACTCTGTATCTAGCTAATCTGGTGGGGACTTGGAGAACTTTTATGTCTAGCTAAAGAATTGTAAATACACCAATCAGCACTCTGTATCTAGCTCAAGGTTTGTAAACGCACCAATCAGCACCCTGTGTCTAGCTCAAGGTTTGTAAATGCACCAATCAGCACCCTGTGTCTAGCTCAAGGTTTGTAAATGCACCAATCAGTGCTCCGTGTCTAGCTAATCTAGCGGGGACTTGGAGAACTTTTATGTCTAGCTAGAGGATTGTAAATACACCAATCAGCACTCTGTGTCTAGCTCAGGGATTATAAATTCACCAGTCAGCACCCTGTCAAAACGGACCAGTCAGCTCTCTGTAAAACAGACCAATCAGGTATCTGTAAAATGGACCAATCAGCTGTCTGTAAAATGGGCCAATCAGCACGATGTGGGTGGGGTCAGATAAGGGAATAAAAGCAGGCTGCCTCAGCCAGTAGCTACCATCTTGTGGGGTACTTTTGCACACTGTGGAGGATTTGTTCTTTTGTTCTTTGCAATAACTCTTGTTGTTGCTCACTCTTTGGGTCTGCACTGCCTTTATGAGCTGTAACAATCATCGTGAAGGTCTGCAGTTTCATTTTTGAGGCCAGTAAGACCACGAACCTACCGGGAGAAATGAACAACTCCAGAGGGGAGGAACGAACAACTCCACCCGCACCCCTTTAAGAGCTGTAACACTCACCGCCAAGGTCTGCAGCTTCACTCCTGAAGCCAGTGAGACCATGAATCCCCCAGAATGAAGAAACTTTGAAGATGTCCAAACACTGGGAGGCACAAACTTAGGACGCACCATCTGTAAGAATTGTAACAGCTGCCGCGAGGGTCCCTGGCTTCATTCTTGAAGTCAGTGAGACCGAGAACCCACCAATTCCGAACACATGAGGACTTCAACATATGAACCTGGTGGCAGGGTGGGGGGAGGGGGAGATGGCAGCGGGTGCGGGAGAGGTGACCATAATGGCATACTATATATTTTCCTTTTTTTTTTTTTGAGTCTTGCTCTGTGGCCTAGGCTGGAGTGCACTGGTGTGATCTTGGTTCACTGCAAGCTCTGCCTCCTGGTTTCATGCCATTCTCTTGTGTTAGCCTCCCTAGTAGCTGGGACTACAGGCATCTGCCACCACGCCTGGCTAATTTTTTGTATATGTAGTAGAGACAGGGTTTCACCGTGTTAGCCAGGATGGTCTTGATTTCCTCTCCTTGTGATCTGTCCACCTCGGCCTCCCAAAGTGCTGGGATTACAGGCGTGAGCTACTGTGCCTGGCATATGTTTTCTTAAAAATGTGGGGACAACTTATACGCATGGATATACTGTAAAGAGGATAATCAGGAAATAAAAAGAGGAAAGGAGAAGAGAAATTACTGTTACCAGAAACCCTGCATTGGGTTATTTCAGGTGCTGAAGTTAGCACTGTTTTCCTAGAACCTACAACACAAGGGAAGACAAGTTGAGATAGAAGGAGGAGCACAAGAAGGATGAGAATGAGGAGTAAGAGAAGGAAGAAGAGGAGGAATCTATCAATTTTTACAAACAAAATTTTGATACTGCCATTGAATTTAAAGAGGAAAGTTTTGAAAAGCAAGGACTTATATTTGAGGTATTGGGAAAAATAAATAATTTTAACAAGTTATAGACTAAAAATAAATGGTTAAAATCAACATTTCTCATAGCAACTCTCACTAATACTTGTGTGGTATTACTTTAAATCTTAATTCAGAGTAGCCTCTTTTTGTTTTCAGCATCTAAGATTATGTGGTATATTTTGTTTTGCGATGACAATACAAGATCAGACCTCAGAGAGTCTAAAGACAATCTTAAATGAATTGTTTATTTGACAGATTCTCACACATCATTGATTTCAAATGGTCTTTAGCATAATTTATCATCATGTTGTGAAAATTTAAGACCTAAAATTGTGGAATTTCCTGGATCAGTCTATTTATTTCTAGAATTGGCTACAAAGCAGATCAAAATTAAGCCTTCAAAGAAAATATAAAAACATTGTCAGCTGGGCACGGTGGCTTACGCCTGTAATCCCAACACTTTGGGAGGCTGAGGCTGGCAGATAACTTGAGGTCAGGAGTTTGAGACCAGCCTGGCCAACATGATGAAACCTTGTCTCTACTAAAAATACAAAAAAATTAGCCAGGCATAGTGGCAGGTGCCTGTAATTCCAGCTACTCGGGAGGCTGAGGCAGGAGAATTGCTTGAACCTGGGAGGCAGAGGTTTCAGTGAGCCAAGATTGCACCACTGCACTCCAGCCTGGGCAACAGAGTAAGACTCCGTCTCAAACAAAAAAACCAAAAAACAAAATTGTCAAGCAATTGAGGGAAATTTTTGCTTGAAATCTATGAGAAAATTGCCCTTTAGCCTAAAATTGACATATTTAGTCAAATTTTTAAAAATTTAGTCAAAAAAGAAATGCATGACCTCTGTCAATTTTTTAATGGATTTTCCATTAAGTGTCAGCTGCGAATTGAATAAAAATAGCGACTATTTACTGAAGATCTCCCACTTAGAAAATTCTTTCTATATGTCATCTCATTCTGTCATCACAATCACTTAAGACCAACATGCCTTTACTGCTAACACTTTACAGACGAGGAAACCGAGGCTTATAATGGGAAGTAGCTTGATGAGAGGTACATAGTTAATGGCAAGCTAGATTTGCAGCGCAGATATAATTTTCACACTATAATGTAGCATCGATTTGTGGAACATAAAAAATTTCTAATAGAATTACTTAGTGTTATACATATAACTGAGGGGGTGCGTTTTCAAAATACAATGATTTTATTTTAATGTAATTGAGTATACTTTGTATCTTTGACAGTAATCAATCACGTGTTTCAGAGATTTCTTCATTCTCTTCTTCTTTATGAACAATAAAACACCATTAATGACATCAACAAAGATAATTTTTTCTGGTTTGGTATATCGATATATTGATACCTCTGCTATATTGATATACTGTCATATTTGTATATCTGATATATTTGGTTAATCTGATACACTGATTAATAGCTGTCCTAACTTGTTTTATATAGGTTTTTTTTTTGAAAAGAGGAGCCAAAAAACTTTTATTTTAGGTGTAATATATCATTTAAAAGAAGATCTGTTAGAACTTTGGTCAACTTGGATTTTCATAGGAGCATTATAACACAGGTTTGGAGTATTAATAGGAACTGTACCTACAATCTAAATTTCTATATTTAAATAATTGAAAATGGAAAGTAAATGCTGTGAAAAATTTATTTTGATCTTATGAGAGTATTTTTCTTTAAAAAATATATCACATTTTAACTTCTCAAAGAAACTCTTTTTAGGGAATATTGAGTCAATTAGCTAAGAAATCTCCCCACCTCGCAAAGATTACACATATATTTTATAACTGAGTGTAAAGTATGATAATCCCCAATGAGATATAGAAATTCAGTTACAAGAGATCAGATAGCCTCGAAGTAGTGAAATCATTAAATCTTATGGAAATGACCCAGAATCCTAATAGGTCAGAGGAGTCTTTTTAGAGCTTCATTCTTGAGTGAAATATTTTCTTTAGTTTTCAAGGGAATATCAGTTGTAGTAGGATATTTTGAAAGTAAAATTCTGGCAAAAAGTAAAATCTTTGATAGATACCAGTTCCCCAGTGAGGTTTATTGTAATCATAATCACAGTTGTGCTTTGTTTTATGAACTCATTCTGTATTACTTTATTAAGTCTTTAGCTGACTGTAAGAGTTTCCTTGGAGGTGTTTTCTCAACTATTTTGCTAGGAATTTGGCTTCAAGGTAATATTTATCCAACCCAGTCATAGACTGTCAAGTCTTCTACAAGGAATACAGGCTGCTTTCATATTGTCTAAAGTCTGTTGATAGGAAGTTAAAGTAAATTTTTTTTCTACAAAAGAAAGTGAATAGTGTTGTACATTCTTTAGTCCTCAGGGGTTGATACTGAAATTGGCCAATTATTTTATCCATGTGGAGAAATATTTTAATATAACCCAAAGATTATAATTAAGATACTGTGCATAAAATACTTTGAAATAATAATGTTGAGGGTCAGAATGAAATTTGTATTGTTAGTAAGATTTTTAAATGAAATATTTTAAATAGAAAAGTGGAGAAAAATATGAAACATATATCACAAAATTTAACAAATGTGAGAGCCTTGACATGTAAGCTTCAGCTATTTTTTTCATAAACAACTCAGACACAGTTCAAATCTTTTAAAAATTCCTCTCATTATATTTCTTCTCTTTCACACATTTGTGAAACTATTTTTTTCCAATTGTTTTAATAATACATTTTCTTATGTAGCTCCTTAGGAGGTTTTTAAGTTGTTAAATTTCATTTTAAATTATTTAATTTTTTTGACATTGACAAAATTGCATATATTTATGTATACAACATGATGGTTTGATATATGTATACATTGTAAAGTGGCTAAAAATAAAGATAATTAATATATGCATTACCTCACATACTTTTTTTTGTGCTGCGAATACATAAAATTTGCTGTAAGCAATTTTAAAGTATACAGTACATTGTTATGAACTATAGTCATTGGGATGTGCAGTAAGTGACTTCAGTATATTACTGTTATCTAACTGAATTTTGTGTTCTTTGACAAACATCTCCCCAGTATCCCCTTTCCCCAGCCTCTGGTGACCACCATTCTCTCTGCTTCTGTAAGTTCAACGTTTTTATTCCACATATAAGTGAGATCACACAGCATTTGTCTTTATGTGCCTGGCGTATTTCACTTAATGTAATGTCTTCCAGGTTGATCCATGGTGTTGTCAATAATAGGGTTCCTCATCTTTTTAAGGCTGAATAGTATTCCATTGTACCCATACCACATTTTCTCTTTCTTTCTTTTTCTGATTTCAATGGTTTGCTTATTTATTTATTTATTTATTTTCTTTAACTTTTATTTTAGTTTCAAGGGTACATGTGCAGATTTGTTACATGGGTAAGTTGCATGTCACAGAGGTTTGGGGTACCTGTCACTCAGGTAATCAACATAGTACCCAATAGGTAGCTTTTCAATCCTCACCTTCCTCCCCACTTCCAGCCCTCAATGATGCCCTGGTGTTTATTGCTCCTTTTTCTGTGTCCATGTGTACTCAGTGTTTAGCTCCCACTTATAAATGAAAACATGCAGTGTTTGTTTTTCTGCTCCTGTATTAGTTTGCTTAGGATAATGGCCTCCAGTTCCATCCATGTTGCCATAAAGGACACAGTCCTGTTCTTTTTTATGGCTCTAGAGTATTCCATGGTGTATATATACCACATTCTCCTTTTCCAGTGCAATGTTGATGGCTGTCCAGGTTGAGTCTTTGCTACTGTGAACGCTGCTGCAGGGAATGTAGGGATGCATGTGTCTTTATAGTAGAACAATTTATATTCCTTTGGGTACATACCCAGTAATGGGATTGCTGGGTCAAATGGTAGTTGTTTTCAGTTATTTGAGAAATCTCCCAATGCTTTCCTCAGTGTCTGAACTAATTTATACTCCCATCAGCAGTGTGTATGTTTTCTCGTTACTCCACAACCTTGCCAGCATCTGTTATTTTTTGACTTTTTGATAATAGCCATTCTGACTGGTGTGAGATGGTATCTCATTGTGGTTTTGATGTGCATTTCCCTAATGATTAGTAATATTTAGCATTTTTTCATATGCTTGTTGGCTGTATGTATGTCCTCTTTTGAGAATTGTCTGTCCATGTCCTTTGCCCACTTTCTAACAGGTTTTTTTTTTTTTTTGCTTGTTGATTTAAGTTCCTTATAGATTCTGGATATAAGACCTTTGTCATATGCATAGTTTGCGAATATTTTCTTCCATTCTGTAGTTTGTCTATTTACTCTATTGATAGTTTCTTTTGCTGTGCAGAAGCTCTTTAATTAGATCTCACGTGTCCATTTTTTGTCATTGGAATTGCTTTTGGAGTCTTCATTATGAAGTCTGCCAGGACCATTGTACAGAATAGTATTTCTTAGGTTTTCTTTTAGGGTTTTTATAGTATTAGATTTTACATTTAAGTCTTTAAAACACCTTGAGTTGAGTTTTGTATATGGTGAAAAGTACGGACCCAGTTTCAATCTTCTACATATGACTGATCAGTTATCCTTGCACCATTTGTTTAATAAGGAGTCCTTTCCCCATTGCTTGTTTTTGTTGACTTTGTCAAAGATCAGATGATAGTAAGTGTGTGACTTTATTTCTGGGTTCTCTAACCTGTTCAATTGGTCTATGTGACAGCTTTTGTACCAGTACTATGCTATTTTAGTTACTATATCCTTGTAGTATATTCAGGCTTTTTGGTTACAAATGAATTTTAGAATAGTTTTTTTTTTAATTCTGTGAAAAAAATGTCATTGGTAGTTTGATAGGAATAAACAACAATGAATCTGTAAATTGCTTTGGGATGTATGGCCGTTTTAACGATATTGAATTTTTGTATTCATCAGCATGGAATGATTTTTCATTTTTTAATGTCATCTCTGAGTTCCTTCAGCAGTGTTTTGTAATACTCAATGTAGAGATCTTTCACCTTCAAGGCAGCCTGCTGGAAGAAGCACAGTTTACTGGAGCCCTGGTGCTTCCTCTCTGGCCCCATCACTGCATTTGCACAAAGCCCAGACACTTCCCCAGCAGTTCCCAGTCAGCAACTGAAATAGCCAAGGGTGCTACTATGCACCAGTCTGGAGCTGCTTTCCAGTGGGCCACTTTTGTTTGGGAAACCCCAGTTGACCTGGGTAAGACTGTTTTAGAGATACTCTGACTAAGCCTCTTCCTCACTAATCATTCCCTCCCACTGTCCTTTCACAGGTGCCAGCCCTCCTTCTTGGCTGTGAGGTTCTCTCTGCCTACTCCTGCTCCTTCCCTCTTTGTCTTTCACAATCTTCTCCCCATAAACTTCTCACCAGTCTCACTCTGCTTGGTATTTGCTTTTCAGAAGAATGAACAAATATATCAGCTTTTTGCTTCTCTATAACATGATTTGAAAGTAAGGAAAACAAACAAACATAGTTTTCATTGAGATATCTAATGGACAAACTGTTATTAATACTATAATAGCCAATTCTAATATTTAAGTATCTTAGCATAATTAATAAAGATTTTAGAAACACGTTGCTTAGTAAATTGTAAGGCGTCCTAGATATCTGAGAAGTCAATATCTTTATTTTCATGAAAATGTGGTTATTTGTAAAAACAAAAATAATTAGGTATGCATAACTGAAAAGTTTACTCTTCTGTTGTTTTCTATTTTACTTATTTACTTATTTTTATTGGCAAGTTACAATTGTATACATTTATGGGGTACAATGCGAAACATATATACACATATATATGATATATACACACACACACAAGCAATGTGGCATGATTAAATTGAGCTAATTATCATTCATAACTTCACTAACCTATCATGGGGAGACATTTGAAATTTTATGATGAGACATTTGAAATTTTCCTTTAGTTATTTTGAAATATTTAATACATTATTATTTACTATAGTAACCTTGCTGTGCAATAAATCTCAAAATCTGTTACTCTTGTCTACCTATAACTTTGTACCTTTTGATAAGCAACACTCCATCTCCTCTCTTTCCATGGCTGGCATCTAGTAACCATCATTCTAGTCCCTGGTTCTATGAGTTCAACTTTATTAGAGTCCACATATAAGTAAGATCATCTAGTATTTGTCTTTCTGTGCCTAGCTTATTTCATTTAGTACAATGTTGTTCAAATTCATCAATTTTGTTGCAAACAATGGGACGTTCCGCAATTTTCAAGGCTGAATAATATTGCTTTGTGTACATATACCACATTTTCTATATCCATTCATCCATTGATGGACACTTAGGTAGTTTCTGTATTTTTTTATACTTTAAGTTCTGGGGTACATGTGTAGAACGTTCAGGTTTGTTACATAGGTATACACGTGCCATGGTGGTTTGCTGCACCCATCAGTCTGTCATCTACATTAGGTATTGCTCCTAATGCTATCCCTCCCCAGCCCCTCACCCCTTGACAGGCCCTGGTGTGTGGTGTTCCCCTTCCTGTGTCCATGTGTTCTTATTGTTCAATTCCCAATTATGAGTGAGAATATGTGGTGTTTGGTTTTCTGTTCTTGTGTTAGTTTGCTGAGAATGATGGTTTCCAGCTTCATCCATGTCTCTGCAAAGGACATGAACTCATCCTTTTTTATGGCTGCATAGTATTCCATGGTGTATATGTGCCACATTTTCTTTATCCAGTCTATCATTGATGGTCATTTGGGTTGGTTCCAAGTCTTTGTTATTGTGAACAGTGCCACAATAAACATAAGTGTGCATGAGTCTTTAGAGTAGAATGATTTACAATCCTTTGGGTATATACCCAGCAATGGGATCGCTGGGTCAAGTGGTATTTCTGGTTCTAGATCCTTGAGGAATTTTCACACTGTCTTCCATAATGGTTGAACTAATTTACCCTCCAACCGTGTAAAAGTGTTCCTATTTCTCCTGTTGTGAATAGCACTGTAAAGAACAAGAGAGTGCAGATAGCCCTTGGATATATTAATTTGGGGAAAAGGTTAACAAAGCATACCTCTTACAAGGGGTTAAAGGGTGCTGTGCCAGGTGCCTTTAGTCTCAGTTACTTGGGATACTGAGGCAGGAGGATCCTGGGAGCCCAGCTTGGACAACATGGCAAGGCATCATCTCTTTTTAAAAAAGTGTGTGTGTGTCTATATATATATATAGACACACACACACGTGTATACACACACATATGTATACACACATACATACACATGTGTACACGTATATATACACATGTATACACACGTGTATATATACACATATGTATACACACACGTATATATACATATGTACACACACATATATACACATATATGTATACACACGTATATACACATATGTATACACACGCATATATACATATATGTACACACACATATACACATGCACACACACATATATACACATGTATACACACGTATATACACATATGTATACACACATATACACATATGTATACACACATGTATACACATATATACTCATATGTATACACACATATACACATATGTATACACACATACACATATGTATACACACATATATACATGTATATGCACACATATATACATATGTATACACATATATACACATGTATATGCACACATACATACACATATGTATACACACATACACATATGTATATGCACGCACATACACATATATAAACACATATTTATACACACACACATATGTATATATATATATACACACAACTCAATAGCAAGAAAAAAATAAACAGATTAAAAAAGGGGCCACGGACCGAAACAGACACTTCTCAAAAGAAGACACACAAATGGCCAAAAGGTACATGAAAAAATGCTTAGTACACTACTCAGTAGGGAAATGCAAATTAAAACCACAGTGAGATATCACTTCACACCTGTTAAAGTAGCTTTTATGAAAAAGATGAAATACAACAGTGATGAAGAGGAAGCTGAAAAAATAGAACTCTTTTACACCATTGGTGAGAATGTAAATTAGTATGTCTATTACGGAAAATAGTCTGGAAGTTCCTCAAAAACTAAAAACAGAACGACTGTATGACCCAGTAATCATTCCTGAGAATATACCCAGGATTTAACCCCTTAATGTAAATTACTTCTTCTAAAAACAGTTTGTCTCTCGGTAACTTGAGGAAATATGAAGATCAAATGAAATGATGCGAAGCTGAGATCAGCTGTGTGGAGTCAGGAGAGTGGTGTCTTGGCAATGACGTTCCTCTGGGCTTTGAAAACATGCCAAATCGTCCGTCAAATTAAAGACTCAGTGAGGGTGGCAATTCAGAAGCCGCCTTCATGGCCTTAGAATCACCGGACTTCAGACATCAATGTGTAGTGTCCAAGTGCTAAACTTGCGCATCCTTACACCATGCGAGTATTCTGGCCTATCTGTGTGAGGGAGACGTAGAATACACAGTAACAAATGAGATTCAGATAAGATGTTACAAAAATAAAAAGAGAATCACCTAACTTAGTTCCAGGAATGCAGAAAATAAATGTTGCTATTTCAGGAACTGTTCCTTTTTTTAAGAATATAAATTTATTTTATAAAATGGAGGATGGTTTATTTGTTATACATCATGTCACACTGCCGTTACTTGTTCATCCTCATTCCTTGGAAGTAATATTATTTGCTCCCCCTATACATCTAAATTACTACTACTTAGTAGTAGTCAAATATTATTTGCTGCCCTTATACAACTAAAATATTATTTGCTTCCCTTATGCAACTAAAATATTATTTGCTCCCACTATACGTCTAAATTACTACTACTTAGACACTAAGCAGGATTGGATTGATGGTCTTTGAAATGGCAACCTCGTGCAGAATTCATTTGGTCAAGTTTATTGAGTAGGGCTGCAATTCAGGATGGAAAAGAAAAGCCATGAGAAACATGTCCCGCAACTGACAATGCTCTGTCAGCTTCTCCAAATATTATAGCAACTGAATGAAAAAATATTTTATAAAAATAGCAAGTTACGGCCGGGCGCGGTGGCTCACGCCTGTAATCCCAGCACTTTGGGAGGCCGAGGCGGGCGGATCACGAGGTCAGGAGATCGAGACCATCCTGGCTAACACGGTGAAACCCCGTCTCTACTAAAAATACAAAAAATTAGCCGGGCGAGGTGTCGGGCGCCTGTAGTCCCAGCTACTCGGGAGACCGAGGCAGGAGAATGGCGTGAACCCCAGAGGGCGGAGCCTGCAGTGAGCTGAGATCGCGCCCCTGCACTCCAGCCTGGGCGACAGCGAGACTCCGTCTCAAAAAAAAAAAAAAAAAAAAATAGCAAGTTACTCATTCATCATCTAAATTAGATGTACAGCAAAGGAGTTCATGCAACTTTCTGAGTTTATTTGGTAAGTATAAAGTAATTTTGTATGACAGACATCTATTTGCCTTGATACATCACTATAATTATGAAGTTACATTTTAAAGTATATGGCAGTGAATTTTGAAAAACACATAACCATTATAGAACGAGACTTAGTGAGGAGAAGTCATAGGGGACATTTATTTTACTGTCATTGAGACTAATGTAAAAATGGCAGTAACATACAGAAAGAAATTCTGCTTACTCTTTCATTACTATAATGGATAAAATTTTAATTGCCTGTTTTTCCTTGAAATGTAAATATTTATGAAATGTGAAATACTCTGTAAAGAAATTTTAGCTTAACAAATATTAAAAATGAATTATTTATGCAAGTAATTTTGTCCTTAAATATAGCCGAAGCATTTGCATAGCTGAAAAATAAGATTCAAATCTCTATGAACAGATGATTTTATATGTACATATGTAATTAATAGAAACTCAGAAATTATAACAAGACCATAGTTCAAAAAGTAAAGTCATCTATTATGATGACTGAAGAATAATAATTTTGGAAAACATTATTTTATAGCAAAACATTATTAATAAGATTAACCTAAAAAATCTTTCTGCTTTCCCTTAGGCTCTACATTCTTTTTAAATACCATTAACGTAAATTCCTGAAATTGTAAGGAACAAAATGAATTTTACAAAATACCATTTATCTCTCTCTAGAGTAATGGTAAAAGTCCAAATAAATGAGCTAATAGGATTGTATACAATTTCCTTCTAAAAACACAAATGTAGTTTTAAAGAACTTTTAACTATGTGTTCAAACTACATAATTCTTCTTTATTCATCTACCCAAAGTATAATTATAGCAAGTAAACATAGTGACTTCAATTAATTATGCCCAATTTTGAGGAAGAAAAAAATGTGTCTTTTATGAATTTTAAATTAAACTCAAATACACAAATCAATGTTATTTTAACTAAATAAAAAATGAAAATAAATTGTACCCCAAATTCTGGTTTGTTAAGTTCAAAAAAAGTAATATACTGACAAAAGTCATAAGCTTAATATACACTGGGTGCATTTAACTAGAGTAATATTTTTAACAAAGAGAGAATAGGTTGTCCATAATGTTTATTTTACTGAATGGTCCGCTAGGATGATGGCATTATAAATATGTATGTGTGTGTGTGTGACAGAGAAAGAAAGATAATTTTTAGGCAAAATTCAGTTCAAAAATTGCTTGCATTGAAATATAAACACTTTACTTATTAAACAGCTCATTTTTCTTTCATTTGGATCGTATTATTTTAAAATTATTTCAAACATAGTAAAATGTTCACATTTAAAAGCCCATTTCAGAAGAAAAACAGCAGGACAAATAGATAAATGATAGATAGATGATAGATAGATAGATAGATAGATAGATAGATAGATAGATAGACATAGATCATGTCTTAGTTTGTTTGTGCATTGTCATAGAATAGCACAGACTTGGTAATTACAAAGAATAGAAATGTATTTATCATGGTTCTGGAGGCTGAAAAGTCCAAGATCCAGGCACCAGCATCTGGTGAGGACTTTCTTGCTGAATTCTTACATGACGAAAGGCAAATGGACAACAAGGGGATGAATGCTGTGTCCCCACATGGCAGAGGAGCAGAATAGTTCTTTTTTTAGTGGAATGAGTCAATTCATGAGGGCAGTGTCTCATGACTGAATCACCTCCCATTAAACTCCATCTCCCAACACTGTTGCATGGAAAACGAAATTTCCAACACATGAATTTTGGGGTACACATTCAGACCATAACAGATATATATATATTTCCATTTATATATGGAGAGAGACACAGAGATAGAGAGGGCGGGAGAGAGAGAGAGAGACTGACAAAACAAAAAATGACAGTGACCTGATTAGCAGGTCAGAAAAATTTTAAAAAGGCAGTCACAAGATCTGAAAAGTCACAAATGTTTGGAAAAATCATAGATGTTTAGAAAAATCAATGTTTGGATTCACTTAGTATGAATTCCTCAATATCACTAATAATTCAGCATTGTATAAAAATGATGTTAATATAATGGCTCTGAATAACAATGTACATTTTGTGTAATAAGTTTGGACAATTTAGAAAGCTTTCCTCTATCCTAAATATCATATTCTTAACTATCCCAAAGATGAAGAATTTTTGAAAAGTGAAGGCCTCTCACTGAGTGAGAAATTAGATTGACTTTGAGAATGCTAATCAAGATTAAGGAAGATGTGCGAAGGTCATGGAAATGACGGGCTGTCACACTTGGCCAGACTTGGGTGCTTGGTGCAGTGGTGACTTTGACATGTGCTGTCACTGAGCTACCCTTGTATCCAGCTCTGCAACTGTGTTCCTTTCTCTCATTAATTCCAGGGGATGGGGTCCCCTCAGCATTGAATACAACTATTTATTAACATCTTAAACAGCGTCATGGTCATTCCAGTAATTTAAACTACTACTCAAGAATTTGTGGCTATTTCTGTTCTTTTTTCACCTCATTTGAGTCTCCTCAGTGTCACAATCAGAACTCTTTATCTCTTCAATAACTAACTAGTTACAACAAGCCACAACGGTCCAATCTAAATCATCTTTTTTTGCCAAAATAAGCGGGGACATCTATTAGCTCCTTTGTTTCTTTTTGATTTTGCTTTTTCCTATTGTTTTGTTTTTTCTTTTAAGATCTTAGCTTCATCCCTTAAGTATGTACCACCATTCTAAAAGTCCTTTTTATAAATTCTTCTCAAAGATTTTGGGGCCCTCATGCAGAATTCTTTGTGCCTTATTCTCCAGCAATGGAACTTCGGCATCTAGAGATTTCAAGGTGAGCGTATTGATTCCCTTTAGCACACTTTCTATAATATATGTAGATTTCTCATGTGGTGTAAAGCATTTAAATTATTTTACTAGCTACTTACCATTCTTTCCTTTCCTCAGGCCTTTTTTTTTTTTTTTTAAAAAAAAGAATGAATTCTGAGGTGATAGGTGCAGATGACTTTGGAGTAGCAAAATAAGGCTGGATTTATCCATCTAAAAAAAAAAAAAGAAAAACATTAGGCCTAACAGTAAAAATTTGAAGTTGAGTAAGAGGATAATGGGATTAGAGTGACAGTCGCAGAAGCTAAAACGTGTTTACGTGGAAGACAGAATCGAGAGATTTAAAGTCATTCTAAAAGGGTGAGGATATCTGTAATGAGGAGAAAAGGCCAGGGATGTAACCAGGGATGTTTTGGTTTAATGTTTGATGTGCCTCCTGAGTTTCTTCTCACCATGAAATCCTTGGGAAATAAATGTATATTCTTATCAATGCTGTAGAAGTTGGATTTATATTTCTTCTTTTGTGAAATATTCTCACAATTACACTGTCATCCCTAAAAACAAGGTCCTAGTTTTATAATACATATCTAATGCAAATAAAATCTCCTTTCTTTCTGAGGAGCTCCATCAACTACTTTATGGGTACTAGATTCGTTTCCATAGAGTGGGTGCTCTGTTTCACCTACAGATTATGTTATTTAATGGCTCTATTGGTTATTTCTCTTCTAATACTTCAGTCCACCGTCTCCTCTACCTCTCTATTACAAAACCTAGGTCCTGTGAGTTTCTTTTATTAAACATCTCTTGCACAACCTTTCAGAATCCAAAACAACTATCTTCATTTTTTTATCCTTTATATGAGACTGCATATAGTTTTTCAGTTGCCAACAGTGTCCATTGAATTACATGCACATTCAACACTCTTTCTTTCAATAATTTTTCCTCTTTTAGTTTTCTTATTTCAGTAGGTTTTTGGGGAACAGGTGGTGTTTGGTTACATGAGTAAGTTCTTTAGTGGTGATTTCTGAGATTGTGGTGTATCCATCACTCGAAAAATGCACACTGTACCCACTGTGTAGTCTTTTATCCATCACCACCCTCTCACCTTTTGCCCCAGTCCCCAAAGTTCATTGTGTCATTCTTATGCCTTTGCATCCTCATAGCTTAGCTCCCACTTATGAGTGAGAACATAGGATGTTCAGTTTTCTATTCCTGAGTTACTCCACTTAGAATAAAGGTCTCCAATTCCATCCAGGTTGCTGTGAATATCATTACTTCTTTCCTTTTTATGGCTGTCTAGTATTCCATGGAATGTGTGTGTGTATGTATGTATATATACACATACACACATATGTGTGTGTATACATTTTCTTTATCTACTCATTGATGGATATTTTTGCAATTGTGAATTGTACTGCTATAAACATGCGTGTGCAAATATCTTTTTCATATGATTTCTTTCCTTTGGGTAGATAACCAGGAGTGGGATTGCTGGATCAAATGGTAGATCTACTTTCAGTTCTTTAAGGAATCTTGACACTGATTTTCATAGTGGTTGTAGTAGTTTACATTCCCTCCAGCAATGTAAAAATTCCCTTTTCACCACATCCACACCAACATTTATTATTTTTTTATGTTTAAATTATGGCCTGTATTAGTCTGTTTTCACACTGCTGATAAAGACATACCCAAGACTAGGCAATTTACAAAAGAAAGAGGTTTTATGGGCTTACAGCTCCACGTGGCTAGGGAGGCCTGACAATCATGGTGGAAGGTGAAAGGCACATCTCACATGGTGGCAGACAAGAGAAGAGAGCTTGTGCAGGGAAATTCCTGTTTTTAAAACCGTCAGATCTTGTGAGGCTTCTTCAATATCAGGAGAACAGCAGGGGAAAGATCCTCCCCCATGATTCAATTACCTCCCACTGGGTTCTTCCCATGAAATGTGGGAATTGTGGGAGTTACAATTCAAGATAAGATTTGGGTGGGGACATGGCCAAACCAAATCATGGCCATTCTTGCAGGAGTGAGGAGGTATCACATTGTAGTTTTGATTTGCATTTCCCTGATAATTAGTGATGTCAAGCATTTTTTCATATGTTTGTTGGCTATTTGTATATCTTTTTTTGAGAATTGTCTATTCATGTCCATAGCTTGCTTTTTGATAGGATTGTTTTTTCATGCTGTTTTGAGTTTCTTGTATATTCTGGATATTAGTCCTTTGTCAGATGTTTAGATTGCAATGATTTCCTCCCACTCTGTGGGTTGTCTGTTTCTTCTGTTGATTATTTCTTTTGCCATGCAGAAGCTTTTTAGTTTAATTAAGTCATGAAATTAATTAGTTTAATTAAGTCATGAAATGATCATATTGCCAAAAGCAATATTTAAGACATGAAATTTCATGGTTATGAAATTTTTGCCTAAGCCAATGTCTAGAAGGGTTTTTTCTGATGTTATCTCCTAGAATTTCTATGGTTTTGGGTACTAGACTTAAGTCTCCCACCTTGAGTTGATTTTTGTGTAGGGTGAGAGACGAGGATCTAGCTTCATTCTCCATGTGGCTGCCAATTATCCTGGCACCATTTGTTAAATAGGGTGTCTTTTCCCCACTTTATGTTTTTGTTTGCTTTGTCAAAGTCAGTTGACTGTAAGTATTTGACTTTACTTCTGGCTTCTCTATTCTGTTCCTTTGGTCTATATGCCTATTTTTATACCAGTACCATGCTGTTTTGGTGACTATGGCCTTATAGTATAGTTTGATGTCAGGTAACATAATGACTCCAAATTTGTTCTTTTTGCTTAGTCTTGCTGTGACTATGCAGGCTCTTTTTTGGTTCTATATGAATTTTAGGATTTTTTCTAGTTCTATGAAGAATGATGGTGGTATTTTGATGGAAATTGTATTGAATTTGTAGATTGCTTTTGGCAATATGATCATTTTCACAAAATTGATTCTACTCACCCATGAACATGGGATGTGTTTCCATTTGTTTGTGTCATCTACAATTTCTTTCAGCAGTGGTTTGTAGTTTTTCTTGTAGTGGTCCTTCACTTTGTTTAAGTATATTCCTAAGTTTTTTGTTGCTCTTGTTTGTTTGCTTTTTTGCAGCTATTGTAACAGGGGCTGAGTTCCTGATTTGATTCTCAGCTTGTTCACTGTTGTTGTATAGCAGGGCTACTGATGTGTGTACATTAATTTTGTATCCTGAAACATTGTTGAATTCATTTACCAGTTCTAGGAATTTTTTGAGTCTTCAGGGATTTCTGGGTATACAATCATGTCATCAGCAAACAGTAGCAGTTTGACTTCCTCTTTACTGATTTGGATGCCCTTTATTTCTTTCTCTTGTCTGATTGTTCTGGTTAGGACTTCCAGTACTATGTTGAATAGAAGTGGTGAAAGTGGGCATCCTTGTCTTGTGCCAGTATATCTTGTTCCCATTCAGTATAATGTTGGCTGATGGCTTTTATTAACTTAAGGTATGTGCCTTCTCTGCTCATTTTGCTAAGCATTTTAATCATAAAGGGATGCTGGATTTTGTCATATGTTTTTTTCTGCATCTATTGAGATAATCATGTCATTTTTAACACTATACATATGATGTGTCACATTTATTGACTTGTGAATGTTAAACCATCCCTGCATCCCTGGACTGAAATACACTTGATCATGAATTATGTTTTTGATATGCTGTTGAATTCTGTTAGCTAGGATTTTGTTGAGGATTTTTGCATCTATGTTCATCAGGGATATTGGTCTGTAGTTTTCTTTTTTTGTTATGTCCTTTCCTGGTTTTGGTATTAGGGCGATATTGCCTTCATAGAATGATTTAAGGAGGATTCCTTCTTTCTCTCTCTTTTGGAATAGTGTCAATATCATTGGTATCAGTTCTTCTTTGAATGTCTGATAGAATTCAGCTGTGAATCCATCTGGTCCTGGACTTCTTTTGGTGGCAATTTTTAAATTACCATTTCAATCTCACTGCTTGTTATTGGTCTGTTTAAAGTCTCTATTTCTTCCTGGTTGAATCTAGGATGGTTGCATATTTCCAAGAATTTATCTCTATCCTCTAGGTTTTCTAGTATATGCATGTAAATGTGTTCATAGTAGCCCTGAATGATCTTTTGTTTTTCTGTGGTATTGATTGTAATATTTCCCATTCTGTTTCTAATTGAGCTTATTTGGATCCTCTCTCTTCTCTTCTTGGTTAATCTCTCTAATGGATTATCAGTTTTATTTATCATTTCAAAGAACCAGTTTTTTGTTTCATTTATCTTTTGTATTTTTTTTGTTTCAAATTAATTTAGTTCTGCTCTGATCTTGGTTGTTTCTGTTCTTATGCTGTGTTTGGGTTTGGTTTGTTCTTGTTTCTCTAGTTCCTTGAATTGTGACCTTAGATTGTCTATATGTGCTCTTTCAGAAATTTTTTTTTTTTTTTTTTTTTTTGAGATGGAGTCTTGCTCAGTCGCCGGTGCGATCTCGGCTTACTGCAAGCTCCTCCTCCTGGGTTCAAGTCATTCTCCTGCCTCAGCCTCCAGAGTAGCTGGGACTACAGGTACCCGCCACCACGCCTGGCTCATTTTTTTGTATTTTTAGTAGAGACGGGGTTTCACTGTGTTAGTCAGGCTGGTCTCCATCTCCCGACCTCGTGATCTGCCCGTCTTGGCCTCCCAAAGTGCTGGGATTACAGGCGTGAGCCACCATGCCCAGCCAGACTTTTTGATATAGGCATTTAATGCTATAAATTTTCCTTTTAACATCGCTTTTGCTGTATCCCAGAGGTTTTGATAGGTTATGTCACTATTATCTTTCAGTTCAAATACTTTTTTAATTTCCATCTTCATTTCATTGTTGACTCAGTGATTACCCAGCAGCAGGTTATTTAATTTCTATGTGCGTGGTTTTGGGGATTCCTTTTGGAGTCGATTTCCAATTTTATTCCACTGTGGTCTGAGAGAGTACTTGCTATAATTTCGATTTTCTTAAATGTGTTGAGACTTTTTTTGTGGCCTATCATATGGTCTACCTTGGAGAATGTTCCACGTGCTGATGAAGAGAATGTATACTCTGCAGTTATTGGGTAGAATGTTCTGTAAATATTTGGTAAGTACATTTGTTGTAGGGTATAGTTTAAGTCCATTCTTTCTTTGTTAACTTTCTGTCTTGATGAGCTGTCTATTGCTGTCAGTGGAGTACTGAAGTCCCCCACTATTCCATTGCTCTCTATCTCATTTTTTAGGTCTAGTAGTAATTATTTTACAAATTTGGTAGCTCCAGTGTTAGGTGCATATATATTTAGAATTGTGATATTTTCCTGTTTGACAAGTCCTTTTATAATTGTATAATGTCCCTCTTTGTCTTTTAAACTGCTGTTGCTTTAAAGTCTGTTTTGTTTGATATAAGAATAGTACTCCTGCTGGCTTTTGGTGTCCATTTGCATGGAATATCTTTTTCCACCTTTTTATCTTAAGTTTATGTGAGTCCTTATGTGTCAGGTTATTCTCTTGAAGACAGCCGATACTTGGTGAGTTCTGCCATTCTGTATCTTTTAAGTGGAGCATTTAGACCATTTACATTCAAAATTCATATTGAGATATGAGGTATTATTCTATTCATCATGCTATTTGTTGCCTGAATACTTTTTTTATTTCATTGTGTTATGTTTTACAGGTCCTGTGAGATTTATGCTTTAAGGAGATTCCACTTTGGTGTATTTTGAGGGTTTGTTTCAAGATGTAGAACTCCTTTCAGCAGTTCTTGTAGTGCTGGCTTGGTAGTGGCGAATTCTCTCAGCATTTGTTTGTCTGAAAAAGACTGCATCTTTCCTTCATTTATGAAGCTTAGTTTCACTGGATACGCAATTCTTGGCTGATAATTGTTTTGTTTAAGGAGGCCAAAGATAGGACTCCAATCCCTTCTGGCTTGGAGGGTTTCTACTGAGAAAACTGCTCTTAATCTGATAGGCTTTTCTGTATAGGTTACCTGATGCTTTTGCCTCACAGCTCTTAAAATTCTTTCCTTTGTCTTTAAGTAACTTGATGACTGTGTAGTTAGGTGTTGATCTTTTTGTGATGAATTTTCCAGGTGTTCTTTGAGCTTCTTGTATTTGAATGTCTAAATCTCTAGCAAGGCCAGGGAACTTTTCCTCAATTATTTCCTTGAATATGTCTGTCAAACTTTCAGATTTCTCTTTTTCCTCAGGAACACCAATTATTCTTAGGTTTGGACATTTACCATAATCCCAAACTTTTTGGCGGCTTTATTCCTTTTTTAAAATTCTTTTTTCTCTGTCAGATTGGATTAATTTGAAAGCCTTGTCTTCAAGCTCTGAAATTCTTTCTTCTACTTGTTTGATTCTGTTGCTGAGACTTTCCAGTGCATTTTGCATTCCTCTAAGTGTATCCTCGATTTTCAGAAGTTGTGACTGTTTTTTATTTACGTTATTTTATTGGAGATTTTTCCATTCATATCCTGTATCTTTTTTTTTTTTAATTTCTTTAAGTTGGACTTCACCTTTCTCTGGTGCCTTCTTGATGGGCTTAATAATCAACCTTTTGAATTCTTTTTCTGGTAATTCAGAGGCTTTGTCTTGGTTTGGATCCATTGCTGGTGAGCTAGTGTGATCTAACAGAGGTGCTAAAGAACCTTGTCTTGTCATATTACCAGAATTTTTTCTGGTTCCTTCTCATTTGGGTAGACTATGTCAGAGGGAAGATCTGGCACTCAAAGGCTGCTGTTCAGATTCTTTTGTCCCATGGAGGTGCTCCCTTGGTGTGGTGCTCTCCTTTTTCCTCTAGGGTGGGGATTCCTGAGAGCCAAACTGCAGTGATTCTTATTTCTTTTCTGGATCTAGCTTCCCAGTGGAGCTACCAGGCTCTGGGTTGGTAGTGGGTACTGGGGGGGTGTCTGCAAAGAGTTCTGTGATGTGATCCATCTTCATGTCTCTCAGCCGTGGATATCAGCACCTGCTCTGGTGGAGGTAGCAGGGCAGTGAATTGGAATCTGTGAGGGTCCTTAGTTGTAGTTTTGTTTATTGTACCAGTTTTGTGTTGGTTGGCCTCCAGCCAGGGGGTAGCACTTTTTGTTCTTTTTTTTTGAGACAGAGTCTAACTCTGTTACCCAGGCTGGAGTGCAGTGGCGTGATCTCGGCTCACTGCAAGCTCCGCCTCTCAGGTTCACGCCAGTCTACTGCCTCAGCCTCCAGAGTAGCTGGGACTACAGGCGCCTGCCACCATGCCCGGCTAATTTTTTGTATTTTTTTTTTTAATAGCGATGGCGTTTCACCGCCAGGATGGTCTCGATCTCCTGACCTCGTGATCTGCCTGCCTCAGCCTCCCAAAGTGCTGGGATTACAGGCGTGAGCCCAGCGCCAGAGAGTAGCACTTTCAAGAGAGCATCAGCTGCTGGAGGATGGGGAGGATCAGGCGGTGGGCAGGGCCATGGAGCTCCCAAGAGATTATGTCCTTTGTCTTCAGCTACCAGGGCTGGTAGGAAAAGATGATCAGGTGGGGCAGGGTTCAGCGTGTGTCTGTGCTAAGACTGTCCTTAAGCAGGGCTTGCTGCTGCTGTTCTGGGGGATGGGGTGTGGTTCCCAGGCCAATGGAGTTATGTTCCCAGGGAGAGTATGGCTGTTTCTGTTGCATCACACATGTCGCCAGGGAAGTGGGGGAAAGCCGGCAGCCCCAGGCCTCACCCAGCTCCCACGCATCCGGTAGCCTGAAGGGCCAGTCTCACTTCCACCATGTCCCCGCAACAGCACGGAGTGTATTTTCAGGCAGCCGGTGAGTAGGGCTACAAGCCTCCAGCTGAGAAAGCAAAGCCAACTCACAGTTCCTTGGCTGTCCCGCGGAGCCTGCGGTGGCAAACCACCTCCTTCAGAAGGGTCTGTGGATTCTCCTGGCTTTTCTGGTATGTTCCTGTGGTAGTTCTTGGAGCAGAAGTTCATGATGCCAGTCTTCATAGGCGGCTCTGTCTGTCTGAGTGGGAGCTGCAGGTTAGTCTGGGCTCCTTTCCACCATTTTTTTCTCAATAATTTTTCTTGATCCACTACTGTGCCAGGCATTTTGTAGTGTTGGACGTTGGAAGACACATAATATAGACATGGTTCCTGTCGTATTGCAGTTTATATTCTACCAACAAGCGATAAACTAACAGGAAAATATATGAGTATAAATGCTACCTACACTACAAAGGAAAAGAACGATGGATGTGTGAGATTGAGAGAATTAAATCTTAGTTTGGGTGGCCAGCAAAGGCCATCATGGGAAGATCACACTTCCTTAAGCTCTTTTTTCATCTTTTAAAATATTCATACTAACAATCACAATTTGAAATTGTACATTTATTTGTTTATATATTTATTTTAAGAAATGTAGGAAAGTGCAAAAACTGCAAAAATCTCTAAACTACAATACATGTTTTGCAAGCTCAGTTGATTACTTCTTAAATAGTCATATCCTGAATTTTGATTATACAATTTGCTTCTATTCCTTTTGAGTTCTTCAGAAAATATTTAAAGTTTCCTTTACTAAACTTTTTGAATGAATTTACATTTTTTTTTCCTATTAATGGTAGCATAGCATGTTTTAAAGTTCTATTTTTGCTGGGGGCAGAGTCTTACTTAGCTTGAGGGTTACTTGAGCATTTTTATTAGCAGCAGCTTTATTATCTATGATTAGATTTCACCTGGGCCAATTCATTACTCTCACCTTCCACACTTCAGAGTAGGTAGATAAACTTAAAAATAGTCAAAGGAACAATTTAGGGCATAGTTTACAAAATAAATCTAGCCTCTAAGTAATAACCAGCAGAAAATGAAAAACAATTTTTTTTTTATTTTGGTGCATTAAATGAAAAATACAAGAAAATATGTATATATTTTGGATAGAATTTGCAGGTTGTAAACTTAGCAGAGGCCGGGTGCGGCGGCTCATGCTTGTAATCCCAGCACTTTGGGAGGCTTAGGCGGGCAGATCACTTGAGGTCAGGAGTTTGAGAACAGCCTGGCCAACATGGTGAAACCCTGTCTCTACTAAAAATACAAAACTTAGCTGGCCATGGTAGCAGGCACCTGTAATACCAGCTACTCAGAAGGCTAAGGCAGGAGAATCACTTGAACGCAGGAGGCGGAGCTTGTGGTGAGCTGAGATTGTGCCATTGCACTCCAGCCTGGGCAACAGAGTGAGACTCCATCTGAAAAAAAAATTAAATTAAATTAAATAAATAAACTTAACAGAAAGTTAAGCAAACACAGGCTTCCCATATGAAGTAATTAGCATTTTGCAAAGAGGGAACATGGCATTAATAAAGGATCCTAGACTTAGGATCTCCACTACTCCATTTAAAATTGGATCTTTTTGAATTCACGGCAGGTTTTCCTTAAGAAACAATGTCATACATGATGGCTTAGTGTACTGGTCAATCCAGGGAAACTGATTTAATCCATAATATGACATTTGGGATAATATTGGACTAGACCAACATATATTGGGACCATCATATATATACAATGCTTATTAAAAAGATGTCTATTTAAGGTAAGTTCCTGAAAAATGAAAAATAATAGTATGCTGAGCAAACAATATGCTACAACAGAAGTTCAAAAGAAACCGAACAACCGAAACCAAACTGAACAAACAGGTGTGAAGAATTCGATGGGAAAGAACAGTGAGAAATGGTGCGGTTGGTTTCTGACTTTAAGTCACATTGATTTTTTTCCACAAGCACCATGTAAGTATTGGAATGCCTCTTAAAACTAAGTTGTGCTAACTTGGCTGGGCTGCTTTATAAACTCTTTACAAAATTTGATTCATGTTTTATTTAAGATTACATTTGGGAGGCAAGTCCCTAGGACTTGAGACAAGCTGCAGCATTCACCTGCAAGTGTGGCTTGCAAATCAGCAGACTTTGGAGCCATTGGAAAAGGCTACTTCCAGCTACAAAGTGAAAAGATATAAGCAGCGTGTGCTGTAGACTGAGGTAGTATCTTCGAGTTCTGTCATTGGCACCTATCAGTGGCTGAGATATCCTGGGTTGAAGTCTGCAAGGTCCAGCATAATGTATTATGCATGAAAAGACATCTCCTGTTACTTCATTTTTGTAAAAGATTACCTCAATACTCCTTAAGGGCTGGATGACAGTGTGTGAAGTGGCTGAAACTTACATCAAATGCTTTAATAACAGGTCAGCAAAAAGGCCAATGGGCTTAACTTTTACATTCCAACTGGCACAGCTACAGGAGTGGGCTATTTGCCAAAGACATCGAACCAAGCCTCGGAGAAGTAGAAACAGCTCAACCAGGTTCATTCAGCAGAGAATCGTGGTTAAAATATATTAAGCCTGGATTCCTCAAATTCTGTTGGTAAAGTTAATCGGGATAGGGTAACACTTGGCATCCTTATGCTATGACTGGATCTCTCATGGGAATGAGATCTTAGCTTTAATTTTTAGAATTTAATTAAAGCTTCACAAGTATAAATATAAAAGTACTTGTTATTGTTGTCACCTCTGTTCTTTAGCGATGACAAGTAACATCTTATTTGTGCTAACATGAGGAATCCATATGATATAGATTTAAAATATATCATTGTGTAAGATCTTATTTTTTCACCTTAACGTTGGCACCTATGTAATTTAGCTGAAACACTTTTAGAATTCAAGTGAGCTATGCACACCTCTGGGGAAATCTTGCTGGCCAGTTTTCCAGCGTTCCCATACAGGGATATTCACTCTTTGGCTGAGCCTTTGCTTAATTGTATTATTTTAGATGATGGGTTGCCTTGTGAGTAAATGATGAAAAGATGGAAGCTAAAATATACAGTAGCACACACCAGCCCTGTGGAAAATAAATAGCTGACTTTAAAAGAATGTTGTTCCGAAAGTCAAGGGCAATTTTAAAGAAGCAGTGAGTAGGCCAACTCAGTAACGAGTCACAGTGGTGTACTCATTGCTCCTCAGAGGCTCACATACGTTCTGGGTGTGTGTGTGGGGCCCAGCCTGGAGACTGAGAGACAACATTCTTCACCTAGTGAGGATGGTCTAAAAACAAATACATTTTAAGAAACTAAAACCTAATAATATCTTGGCCAAGTTATGTATTATAAAAACAAAGCTAAGAAAGGTGAGCTAATGAATGAAAATTAGAAATACAAGTTCTGCAATACCCGTGGCATTCATGGGAGTGCTGGGTTAATTTATTTAAAATTGCACCCGCTGGCAGATGCAAAAAAAAAAAAAAAAAAAAAAAAAAACAGAACATTATCTGTACGTTATCCTGTACTTCTTGCCCTCATGGGTAACATTTTTACTCATTTAGAGATCAACCCAGCACTTTTCACTGCTGACCACAAATTGTTTTACAAACTTTCATGTTGATTTTAACTGGATTGCCAGATTTGCCTCACAGCTTGAAGCAAATCACATCCCATAGTATCTGATAAGAGCTTGTAAAATAGTGGTACATGTTTCATTTAAGGGAAAGAATAGTTGCCTCAGAAACCGTCTGGTCTGTTAACTAGGTGACTGGATGGAATTGCGAGAAACACACTATGGACGGACCCTTACACACAGAACCGAACACTGGCCCCAATGTGTTTTGGGAAAATAATCCTTCAGGAATGAGCGTATTAGCTCCAGATATCAAACTTTAATAGTAGAGAAATTGCATGTATTATTAAACACCAACTTTACATTTGAGGTCTATGGGATGCATATTTTTCTTTCAAAAGTTCTACTTTTTTCAGGATGGGGATGAAACTGTATCACCACCCAAATCTAGGATACTTTTACTTCTACAGTAGTGAAAAAAAATTCCATATAGTTTTTTTTTGCAAGTTGTAAAAGCATACATGTTCACATACACCTGCCCCTTCTTCTAAAATTTTTAAAGAAAATGTTTCTGTCTTATTTACAGCTCCCTGAAAAGTAATGTTATTAAAAATAAACGTGTTTATTTGACTGGACACCCGGGTTTAACTACCCATGAGAGACCGCAGTGCTGTGGTTCAGTATCAGATGTGACTACCCACAAGAGGACACAGTGCTGTGACTCAGTGTGGTCAAGGACAATGCCTGCTACGTGCCTTACGGAATTAGAAAAGGGGGCTTTTACTTGTATTTATTGGTCTTTAAAATTTTGTTGTTTATATTCAGTAAAGCAATACTGAAAAAATGTTTTTGCCATAAATTAATATCATTATAACATCAGAAGAGAAAAATCTCCAAGATATTTTAAGGAGAATTAAAAATAGTAATATCAAGTAAATCAGCCAGTATTTATACGTTCACATCACACTATGAGAACGAAAACTCACTGTTTCTTGTGCATATTCAAATAAATAACAATATGAGTGTAAAATCTTTCAATTCTTCAGTCTGTTGAAAAGCCTGTGGAAAAACTAGAATCTATATTCCAGGTACTCCAGAGTATAGTAATGAAAATACTTATATTAAAAACAGGACGGCGGGCGGTGTGCAGTGGCTCACACCTGTAATATCAGCACTTTGGGAGGCCGAGGCGGGCGGATCACGAGGTCAGGATATCAAGACCATCCTGGCTAACATGGTGAAACCCCATCTCAACTAAAAATACAAAAAATTAGCTGGGCGTGGTGGCGGGCACCTTTAGTCCCAGCTACTTGGGAGTCTGAGGCAGGAGATTTGCTTGAACCCAGGAGGTGGAGCTTGCAGTGAGCCGAGATCACACCACTGCACTCCAGCCTGGGCGACAGAGTGAGACTCTGTCAAAAAAAAAATAATAAAATAAAAAACCAGAGAGGATATGACATTTTTTTTTTGAAAAGTGAGCAGTTAGAAGTTACAAATTTGATATGTAATTATATACAAAATGCAATTTATAGATATATTTTCTAGGAGCCAGTTGCACCATCAGTGCATTAGCCCTAAGCCTGTGTTTCAGACTTGTGAATTAGAAGCTTCTGACTCTCAAGAGGAGGCCTCAAGGCTGAGAGTGAAGAGGCTGCCAGTCCACGCATGACAGCCAGGGGTCAGCTCTCAGCTCGAAGGAAAGGATCAGCACAGGAAATATTTTACAGCCACGAAGAACCTTGACCTTTTCCACTCTTCTCTTTTTCCTATTTCCCCTTCTCCAGCCCCCTCCTCTAGCTCATCCCAATAATAGAGTAAAATCAAAGCATCCTGAATATTTACTAAGTGCTACATACCTTGTGAACTATTTCACTTGCAGTATCCCTAATACAGTTTCAATAAACCATGACCAGTAAAGTAATAAGCATTGTTTGAAAGAAAAAAATAGCCTAATACACTTCTTGTCAGACACACAAAAAGCTTTTCTTTTGTACATGTCTATGGTAAATTGCTTTGCATGACAGCACATAATCTAACCAAAGTGGATGTTCTCTGTTTGATCTGATTGTCTGAACAAAAAAAAAGCAGGTATTCTAAATTTCTTTCTTTAATGAAGTATACTCCATGAGAGACAATTTCTTATTAAGGCATATTTGGACTTTTATCAAACCTATTATTGATCTCTTCATCTTTTTCCCCCTGCTAGTCCAGGAAATGGGAGCTACTGAAACCACAGGATCTGCTCACGGCTTCCAAACACTCTCTGCAGACAATATGACCACGTCCATGTCCTCCTCTGGCTCCTGTGAGGCCCTTTTCATGGACCCCAGGCCCTTTCCTGTTTCTCCCAGAGGAGGAAGTCCAAGGCAGGGTCTGCATCTCCCTCGTCTTTGCAAGCCCCACAACAGCTCTCCTGGACAGTGTCTAAACTAAAACTTCTTGGCTGTTTAGTCTGGTTATACGTGTTACAAATTCCCCATTTCCTGTGGGGTTCACAGAGAGCTACAAAATTATAGTAATACTTCAATAGAAATTTCTGACTCCATTTTTCAAATATTATCAAATCTTCTAAGGTTCTAAGACCCTTTGCTGTGAAGATAGGTAGAGAACCACTCTAATACAAAACAGCGTTTGTTTTTCTCTCTCAAAGGGAATTGGGACTGTTTGGAAAGTCATGGAAATTTGCTATATACTTTAAAAATCTAGAATGCCTTCCCAACTGGCACACTCAGGATATGAGGAAGCAATGTCACTGCAAATCACTCCTGAACTACATTTAAACTGAGTTACTTGGTTTAGCTTGAGTTTTCTCTCCAGGCCCACAGCATCCTCAGAACTCTTGTCATCAAGGCTTAGGTAGAAACCTCTCCTCTTCAAATCGTGCCTTCCTTTCAGATCTAGTTAATTCTAGTCAGGATTCTAGGAAGGCCTCCCTCTGAAGACAATGCAAAAATAAAAAGAGCGACAGACCTTCCTTTAGTTGACAGCTTTCCATCATTTTCCGAATCAACTGTGATTCAAACTTTAAAAAAACCCAAGTTAGTGCCTGATGACTCCCTAGACTCTGGGACATCTGGTGCTGCCAAATTGAGATTCCCCTGACAATTTCCGAGGACAAAGATCTTCGAGGAGGGCAGCTCTAGGGAGAGTTTAGTCACCTCTGAAGTTGTGTCTCACAGACGCAGCATCCACTGACCCCTGACTTTCAGTTCATATTTTAGAACTGTTCCCAGGGGATGGAGATAAGGCAGTCATCAATCAGGAAAGTCAAACACATGCAGATGACTGAGAACAGCTCTCCTTGAATCCCAGTCATGGGAGTTGAGGAATGACCATTCCTCTACATAGTTCTATTAAAAAAAGTGAAATAAAATTTGTTCTATTTTGTTAGAGTTGCAGAAATAAGACAACAAACACAACCTCAATTGGGTTAAAAACCACACAGCTCTGGCAGCAATGTTAACATCATTTACATCAAGTTCCTTGGCTAAATGAGCAATTTCCATATGTCTAGTTTACATGAGCTCAATTGTAAGTGTGGTAGAATTGGCATCAAATAAATGGCATGGGTTCAGATCTGGTTTTGATTACCAAGATTTCTAGAGTATGTTTTTGTGTTTAACTCTTTTTTGTAACTTTGCCCGTGAATGTTTGTCTAACTTCTGCCTCATGAGCACTCAGTTTCAATTCCCTACATATGTCTATGCTTTGCAATTTGTATCTTGTAGTCCTTGCCGGAGTCCCACTGCTCCCGAACACATGCCCTGAGGCAGCGTGCCTGCACAACCAGCTTCCATCTGAACGCTTCAGACATGCGCTGCATTCAGGCAAGAGCCCTTTGGATCTTCCCAATTAGAGCAAAATCGCTAGCATTTAACTTCTAATTTTACAAGTAACAGTGATTTGCAATTAGTAACAGACATCAAGATGACTTGTGACCAGCATTATACATGTTATTAATTTGCACTCATCTATAATTAATTTTACAATGGCATTTAGCTCAATGCTTATTATAGGAAAATCTGTCGTTGAGAACCAGGATTATTACCTCTACAAATACATTATTTTCTCTGTAAAAGAACTCTGACTACTTTCACCAGAAGTACATTTTTAAAGTTAGTATTTTGTACTCGTAGAACTAGATTAAATAATATCTCGTTGAGTGAACGATATTTTAAGATTACAAGCTGAATTGCTTATTATGGCTTTCTAAATTCATACCTGTTCTGCAGCAGAATATTTAAAAATTTAAGTATTGAAAATAGTCTAAGCAAAGAAAATTGCTACTTGTTAACTTTGGAAGACTTGAAGACATAAAATTTCACCAAATGACAGATTTATAAAAATTTCTTTTTGGGGGAATGTTCAAGTATTGTGAAACTGTTACTGAAAACAAAACATTAAAGCATTAGCACGTGTTTTAAAAAGCAATAAGACAATCACCTCTGTAAGAAACACACAGCTAATTATTATGTGTTCTAGAGAATGCTGTCACAATCAGTCAACTTACAGAAGCATGATTTTCTTTTTATTGAAGTTGTCCCTTTGCAAAGGGTCCCTTTAGATATTATTTCTGTGAATAAATAATTCACTGTCTTCTTCATACTCAAAGATATGCTTTTGAGATATATGTATATATGACTCTTTAGTATGAGCTTAATTTTTTTCTCCAGCAATGGCTGTAAGAATGCACAGACTACAAGAGACAATAGTGAGAAAGCTGAGAAAGCTGGTGATCCACACCCTTTCCATTGGAAGCCTACAGGGAGCTTTCCCCTAGGGCCCCACGTGGTCAGCCTTAGAGCGACTAACACTTCCTAATTCAAGAAACCAACCCTTGGCCCCTGCACAGCGAGAACCAAGATGAATTGATTAATGCACAGTGAAAACTATAATTCTCACAAAGACAAAATCTTGTCAGCAAGTATGTCTGTCCCCCATAGCCTGGTGTTTAGCAAATGAAATATTTGAAATTCAGTGACCACAACATCTGCTCCTCAGGCCAGTATCTGGATGCTTATTGTCCATGTTCAGGTACATCCATCTCAAAGGATGTAGAGCCACACACCTTCTTTCATCTTACATCATTTATTTTGTTATTTCCTATACAGGGCAGGGACTTTTCTTGGACAGAGAAGCTGAGAAGTATCAGATAAAGATGACCTGCATGTACTGGAAAATAATCTGTGGTTTATATGTAGGCGGATGGAAGCAAACCAGGGTAATATACATTTAGAGGCAGAGGGCTCTCACAATATCCTCTTCAAAAAACATTAGGATGAAAACAGTTGCAGAACATTTCTAGTAAAATATATCATTAAAACTTAGGCTAACTTAACTCTTTCCACCTACACACTTTAGTAATTTACAAATAGCGTTTAAGCATATATTTCATTTAAAATAGAGTCCACATGATTGAAATAGTTATGAAACTCTGAGAGACTCTCAATAGAACTCTTAGCTGCTTATTACTATCTCCTAAGAAAACAATTTAACTACCCTCTTCTCATTAAAAAGTAAATAAAAATAGTCTTCATGATATTGTAAAGATCTAATAATGCTTCCTTTGACTTGTAGGAACAAAAGAAGAATTTGTAGTTCACAGCCACATGAGATAGTCAAGTGTTAAAAGGGAAAAAGAGCTATCGAAGGCAGGAAGCAAAATGCCTTCAGAGATAAAAGGTTATTCGTGGCTGAGTGAAAAAAATGGACAATGAGCAGAAAATAATTTATACTACAAAGTCTTTAGACGTCATTTACTTGGTAAGACATTATAGAAATATTTTTGGCCGTTTTGTTTGCTTTAAAATCCACTTAACTACAAAGTGACTTCACAGTTTAAAAATGACATAACATAATCTATATGGTACTACACTGATAATATCATCTAATCTTTCATTATGCTGTGACCAAGTCTTCTGTTAAAAGTCTAATTTTAACCTGGCACAGTGGCTCACGCCTGTAATCCCAGCACTTTGGGAGGCCAAGGCGGGTGGATCACAAGGTCAGGAGTTCGAGACCATCCTGGCTAACATGGTGAAACACCGTCTCTACTAAAAATACAAAAATTAGCCAGGCGTGGGGGCTGGAGCCTGTAGTCCAAGCTATTCGGGAGGCTGAGGCAGGAGAATGGCGTGAACCCAGGAGGCGGAGCTTGCAGTGAGCTGAGATCGCGCCACTGCACTCCAGCCTGGGCAACAGAGCCAGACTCTGTCTCAAAAAAAAAAAAAAAAAAAGTCTAATTTTCTTGTTGTATCAACATTTGATGTCCAATATGATCTTTAAGCAGCTATAAAATTATCAAAAATTAATGCTAGAAGAAATCTTAACTTATATCTTTCTTGAGATAACAGCTCTCTACATTTCAGTCTTTTTTAACTGTGGTTTTAGAATTTCTACCTCTAGAATAAGAAAATAGAAAAAAATTCTTTTTTTGAGACGGAGTCTCATTCTGTCACCCAGGCTGGAGTGCAGTGGTGCCATCTCGGCTCACTGCAAGCTCCGCCTCCCAGGTTCACGCCATTCTTCTGCCTCAGCCTCCCGAGTAGCTGGGACTACAGGCGCCCGCCACCACGCCCAGCTAATTTTTTGTATTTTTAGTAGAGACAGGGTTTCACCATGTTAGCCAGGATGGTCTCGATCTCCTGACCTCGTGATCTCACTGCCTTGGCCTCCCAAAGTGCTGGGATTACAGGCGTGAGCCACTGCGCTGGGCCAGAAAAAAATTCTTATGCCATTTTTAACTGAATATGTCCATAAAATGAAGTGGTTCTAACTAATTAGCACTTTTTCAAACATTGGCAAATATTATATTATTTATTCTCTGAAAATACCTACAAGTTATCTCCATACACCTATGCATCCTTCTTATTCTACAGATGGACGGAAATTTTAAAATTGTAAAAGCACCTCTGCATTGCTATATTAGTTCCCTATTGCTGCCGTAACAAATTACTGTAAATGCAGTTTATTAAAACAACACAGACACATTATTTTACCATCTGGAGGACAGAAATCCAAAATGGGTCTTCAGGGCTGCATTCCCTCTGGAGGCTCTAAGAGAGAGTCTATTGCCTTTCCATCTCCAGCTTCTAGAGGCTCCTGCCTTCCACGGCTAGTGACCTTCCATCACTACAGCCTCTGCTTCCGTCATCGCATCTCCTCCTGCCTCCTTCTTTTCCTTATAGGACCCCTGATTATCTTGGGCCCACCTTGTAATGTAAAGTAAACTCCCATCTTAATATCCTTGACGGGGCGCGATGGGCCAGGCCTGCAATACCAGCACTTTGGGAGGCTGAGGCGGGCGGATCACAAGGTCAGGAGATCGAGAGCATCCTGGCTAACATGCTGAAACCCCATCTCTACTTAAACAAAAAAAAGATCCTTTATCACTGCAAAGGCTTTTTTGCTATGTAACCTAACATGTTCAAGGATCCCAGGTACTAGGATGTGGACATCTTTGCAGGATCATTATTCTGCCTGGTACAGCTGCCTAGTGTTCAGTGTCCACTAAAACACTTTATTTCTCTGCTAATATTTTGTTGAGGATTTTGTGTCTTTGCTCAGGAGGAATCTATATTGCTTTGTAATTTTCTTTCCTTCTGACATCTTTTTCTGGTTTTGCCATGAGGCCTAAGTTGGTCTCAAAAACAAAGACAGTAAATGTTCTTTTCTGTCTTCTGCTAGTGTCTATATAAAATTGAGATGATGTCTTCCTTTAAAGTTTGATAGAATTCACACTTACGTTTGAAGTGCTTGAGGAAATGTTTTTAGTTATAAATTCAATTTCCTTAATTTCTCTTTTTGGTAATTTGTGCCCTTGAGAAACTTCACGTCCTCTAAGATTCAAATTTATTGAAATGTAGTTATTCGTGTTGTTTTTTAAAAATTATCTATTGGATGCATAGTAATGTCCCTTCCTCCAAGCTAATTTTTGATGTCTCTACTTAGTAGATTATCAATTTTTGTCAAAGAACAAGCTTTTTTGTTTATATTCATGTTTCCCTGTTGCTTTTGTCCATTTAGTATTTCATTGTTTTCGGCACTATAATTACCTACTTACTCTTCATTAGTTTTAATTTTCTCTTTTTCTTCTAATTTCTTAAGGTGAAATCTTATATCACTGATTTTGTGCCTTTCTTATGTATGAATATATGCATCCAAAGTTCTAAATTTCCCTCTAACACTGTTTTCTCGGCATCCCTCAACCTTTAGCATGTTGATTCATTCACTGTCATTGAATTTAAAATATTTTCTAATTTTATTTGTAACTTTTTTCATGAGCTCATGGGTTATTTGGAAGTATATAGTAAGGATGTTATAGGAAAATCAGCTTGAGTATTTCTCACAAATATGAAGTTGGTTTAATATTAAAAAATCAGTGTAATATACCATTATCAGTAAAATAATAAAGCATGTTAATCTCTACAAATGAAAAGTATTCACAAAATTCAACATCCATTCATGATGAAAAATTATCAGAACATGAGGAATAGAAAGGAATTTGTGTAACTTTATAAAGGACCTCTTCCAAGAAACTGAATCTATCCTCCTAATGGTAGAAGAATATTTTCTCCCCTAAGATGAGAACAAGGCAGGAATGTCCACTATTACTTCTTTCCTGTATTGTACTGGAGGTCCTGCCAGAGTTAGATGCACTGGGCAATGAAGAAATACAAAAATAAAGGTATAAATTTGAAAGGAAGAAGAAACATTGTTAGGTGACAGTTATGTACATGGAAAAGCCTGAGAATCTACCAAAATGCTACCAGAACTCATATTTCTATGTATTACCAATGAACAATTGGAAATTACAATTTAAAAATAAATGCCAGATATTTTAAATTTTATTTTAAGTTCAAGGGTACATGTGCAGTATGTGCAGGTTTGTTACATAGGCAAATGTGTATCATGGGGATTTGCTGTGCAGATTATTTCATCACCCAGGTATGAAGCCTGGTACCCGTTAGTTATTTTTCCTGATCCTCTCCCACCTCCTACCTTCCACCCTCCAATAGGCCCCATTGTGTGTTGTTCCCCTCTATGTGTCTGTGTGTTCTCGTCATTTAGCTCCCGCATAAGTGAGAACATGCTGTATGGTTTTCTGTTCCTGCATTACTTTGCTAAGGATAATGGCCTCCAGCTTCATCCATGTCCCTGCAAAGGACATGATCTCATTCTTTTTTATGGCTGCATTGTATTCCATGCTGTATATATACCATATTTTCTTTATCCAGTCTATCATTGATGGGCATTTAGGCTGATTCCATGTCTTTGACATTGTGAATAGTGCTGCAGTGAACAAACATGTGCCTGTGTCTTTATAATAAAATGATTTCTATTCCTTTGGGCACATACCCAATAATGGGGTTGCTGGGTCAATGGCATAAATACCATTTTCAATTTTATTTTATTTTTTATGTTTATATTTTTTGAGACAGAATCTCACTCTGTCACCCAGGCTGGAGTGCAGCAGCGCACTCTCGGCTCACTGCAAGCTCCGCCTCCCGGGTTCATGCCATTCTCCTGCCTCAGCCTCCCGAGCAGCTGGGACTACAGGCACCCGCCACCACACCCGGCTAATTTTTTGTATTTTTAGTAGAGACGGGGTTTTACCGTGTCAGCCAGGATGGTCTCGATCTCCTGACCTCGTGATCCACCCGCCTTGGCCTCCCAAAGTGATGGGATTACAGGCGTGAGCCACTGTGCCAGGCCAAATACCATTTTCAATTTTATAAAAAAATAAATATTTAGGGATATGTCTGGAATAAATGTGCAAGATGTAGCATAGAGATAGAGATGCAGATCAATGGTACAGAATAGAGAATACAGAGGGAAACCTAAAAAATATGGTCAATTGAGTTTCTGTTGCTCTACATCCTCGCCAGCATTTGGTGCTGTCAGTGTTTTGGTTGTAACCATTTAGATATGCAATGCTATTTTGTTTTAATTTGCACGCAGTATCCAGTTGCTTCAGCATCCTTTGTTAAAAAGGCTATCATTATTTTCCCTTTGCATTATCCAGGTGCCTTTGTTGAAAATCAAGTAGCCATGATTATAGTGGTTTATTTTTACACTCTGTATTGTTTTCATTGATCTATATGTCTATCCTTATGCAAATATCAGACTGCTTTAATTACCATAGCTTTATAGTAAGCTTTGGAATCAGGCAGCATAATTCTTCTAATTATGCTTTTTCTTGAAATTGTTTTTTGACAGTTCTAGGGGATTTTTGTTTGTTCGTTTGTTCATTTTTGCTTTTCCATAAAAATTTTAGGATTGGATTGTCAACTTCTTTAAAAGCTTGGTAGAATTTTGATAGGAATTGCACTGAATCTATAGATTAATTGCTGTCTTAACACTATTGAATCTTCTGGGCATAGATATTTCTGCATTTGTTTAGAATGTAAGCATGTATGTATTTTTTCTCAGCTCTTTAAGTTTCCAGTGTTCAGATTTTTACACTTGTTTTATTAAATTTATTTCTAAGTATTTTATTATTCTTAAATGGGATTTTCTTAATTTTATTATCAGATGTTTTGTTACTAAAATAAAGAAATAAATTGAGTTTTTATAATCTTGTAATCTGTGACATTGCTAAAATTATGCATTAGTTCTATAATTTTATAATTCCCTAAGATTTTCTATATACAATAATGTTTTCTATGAATAATGACTTTCATTTATTACTTAACATTATTTCAAAGAAACAACTATAATATTTTTAAATTTCTTTTTAAAAAGTGTATTCAGAAATCTTTTACGAATAGCATTTTACATTCGCCACATATAAACTGCATATTTCCTTTCAACATCTTAATTAATATGGTTCCATTAACTGAAACCTGGCCCTTAACAGGTTATCCATAGGGACACGGGAGTACTTACTGTGCCATCCAGAGGTTACTTCCTGCAGGATTATAGAAGCTGTTCAGTTTCTGTTAATTCCTGAAATTCACTAGCCTGTGTGAGTCTCCCAAGCTGTCAATAGTGATCATATGGATGACTAGCAAAACCTTGAACATACTGTAGGCAACAGTAGCTACTCAAGTATTAGTTGAATGAGTTTATTTCTGACTCCTCCTCATCCTCACATCAGTTTGTCTTCCTAAAGGGACATTAAAGAAGAGGCATAAAGTTCAAACTTGAAAGTACAAACTTGATTAAGGCTCAAGCTCAAACTTGATTAAGGCTTTCATCTCTCTGCAGTTGGGATAGGTAGATATAAAACCTTTTACTACATCTTAGACTCATCTACTGTGAATTAGGTTCATTTACATACAAACACATACACACACACACAAGAAAAAACTCAATGTAAACATAAATGAAAATTCTTTTAAGCACCATTTCCAGGGGAAAATAATGGGAACAAAAAATTATTTTCCTGTAAATCCTTTAATCCTTTCTTTAGAAAAAGTCACATTCCTTTTTTTTCTACTTCTGTCCTAATTTCTGAAGTTCCTCTGAGAATGGATTGTATAATCTGAAAGCGTTTTAGACACATGCATTATGTCTCTCTTTTTGAATGCCTAAGATACTGGAGGAATTTAATAATTACCTTTTATCTTAAAGATAAAATATGGCTTCATTTCCTAAAAGTCAAAGGACTGTCTTGTGGTGTCCAATTCTGAGCTCAGATCAGTCATCTCAGTCAGCTTGAGCTATTATTACTCTTAGTCTAAAAATTATTTTTGTTCCCCTATATATAGCCCCCCTCACTTCTTCCTTAAGAGACTGAGAATTTTTCAAGCCCACTCATATCAATGTGATATCGTAGATTCGATTAAATGTGATGTTCACTGTTTTTTGTATTGAAAAGGCATGACTCCTCATGTACAAGATGATTCTACATTTTTGAATTCCAAAATAAATTTGTTTCAATGTTGTATAAGATTGAAGATGTCCACCCTGATGTTTTTCCAAACAAACTATAAATGGTCTTAATATGACTGCCTATTAAATTATATTTTTAAAAAGTAGATCCTATTGTTTTTTCATATTTTAAAAGTCAATGTTCACTGATTTTCTGATAAGCTATACTTCATATATGTTCTTTTATATAACCACTGTATATTCAAATTGGATGCTTGCTATTAGCATGAAGGGCCTCTTTATTAACTGATTTTGTACATTATCTAGTATAAGGAGGAAGCCACAAAGAATACATCATATTTTCCAAATGCAGGTAGAATCTCATATGAGTTTTCACTAGAAAGGAAAATTAAATTTTCTTTTTACAGTTTTTGGCATGGTCCAAATACAGGATACTTTGTGAGACAAGGATCTGGGAAGAAAGAAAGGAATGATGTGTTTATATTATGCTTGTGAGTAAGTCTAGGACTACAGCTTTATCACTGAACTGAGGTCTTGTTGTTCACCAATCAATGTAATAGAAATGGCAGTTAAGAAACAGATATTCATGCCAAAACTAGAGGTTGCATTCAAGCCTGCATTCAGAGAAGTTAAAAGTTCTAAAAACAAAACAAAATAGAAACTAGAGCTAAATTAACCTTGGAGAATTAAAAGTAGACTAAAGACAGAAAGAAATGAAGGCAGATTCTAGAAGGCATATTTTCGGCCTCAAGATTGGCCTAATATGGATGAAAGCCTGAATGTGCTTTCTCCAAAAATAGAGAGGAAAATTCCTTTGTGTGTGAGACCTCAAGTCTTTAAGGAGGTGTAGGATGGAGTTTTATAGACTAAAATTATCAAGTTCAAATGAGCAAGTGTTACATTTTCAAGAAAGAAAGAGCTGGATCATGTCAAGGGCTGAGGTTGGGAAACACATATGAAACCTGGAGGTCACATTAGTTCCAGAGGTGCTGATGTGAGAGACAAAACATGTTAGTGAATGCAAATGACCAGTTTGGATTCATTTATTCAACTTAAGCAGAGAGCAGAATTTCCTCTGGGTCATAGTCTGCTCTTGAAAAGTGTAGAATAGGCTCATTAATCTGATAGTCTATCCTCCAGCAAACATTACTGTCAAAAGGGACAATATTAGTAAATAAAGGAAAGCAATATCTCCTGTTTCCAACCAATGAATGATCTAGGTAATTTCCTCTTATACAATAAATGAAGGATATTAAATGTGTATATACATGTGTGTATATGTGTGTATACATGTATATATATATATGTTTGACCTTCTCCATACATTTAAAAAATTAAATTGTAGTATTTATTGACGCTTTCCTGATCTTTGCTAGAAATAATTGCTCTTTATTATACTTTTGGGAGAATATATCCATGTAACCCTTTTTTGAGAATTGACAATGTAGAATTCTCACAGAACAAAGGATCTCACCAAAAACATGTTTTATTTCACTTTTAGTCTCTGGGTTCTGGTATAATATACGTGCTGAGTTTTAGCACATTTTTAGTAAATTTGCTTTGCTTAAAGCTATTAATTAGAATTACATATAGACAATTAGTCATGCTTTACGTTTTACCTGTAGAGAGAACTGAACACTATTTTAAAATAAGAATAACTGGAGTTGCAAGAAACGGAAACAACCCACAGAGCACTGTCATAGCCAGTTGGCGCTTCATTACATCTTTCCACAATTACTTAGAATTCGCTGGATGAAACATTTGCTACAAATCATTGCTAATGCAGCATCTTAAATAACCTCAAAATGAGCCGGTACATTTCTATTAAACTGCCTTAATGAACAATTTAAGAAGTAAAATACTCCACTATGTTATAATGCATTTTTTTCTCCCTCTTCACATGTTATTTATGTTGTTGATTTTTTTTGTAGTACTAATTTTCACAACTAGGAGAATTGCTGATAATAGAAAAATTTCTCCAGAGAATTCTGGTCATCCCAAGATCCCACTGGCCAGTGCAAGATTTTTGTGGGTGCTTTATACAGTAAACTTTTCTCTCCATTTCAAATGTCTTCAGCATTTTTTTAGGAGGACTGCTGATTGTCTGCTCAATTATAGTAGAGATGTTTAATTCTATTTGCAATGCTCAGTAATTTAAAGAAAGGTGGAAAAGGAGTCATATGAAGAGCCACAGAGCTCAATGATATTTTAGGTTTTGCTGATGTTTTTACGTTTTCTCTTAAAATTATGTTTCCAATGTAATGATCTTTCTAGTTACATAAAATAGAAGAACAAAGCACTCTGGAGGAAGAATGGTGCTACCAGCATGCCTCCTTGGGGTTGGCAGCCTGGCTAGGTAGTTTTGCAGGGTTCTTGGGTAGAGGTAAGCCAGTTGACATAAAGAATCCAGCAAACTTCCAGGAGAGCCCCAGGCCTCTTGCTTGCCTGAAGCAGAAATATGACACCCATACTGAGAAATAATGGGAGATGGCCATGCTCCATCACTGTAGAATATAAAGGTAAAGAAGACCCTCAAATAAACCTGCAATGAATGGGAAGAGCCAAGGCCAGTAGGGGCTTGGCCAACCACAAGATGGGTCATTGTGCTGGTGTGGAAGGGGGTCCACTGTCCGGGAGGGCTGGTTGTGGTTTGGGGACAGGGAAGAAGTGAGTGTCTCAGGATCAGGGCAGTTGCTCATGCCACAACTATTGTGGCCTAGCTTTAAGATGAAGAACTGTGCTCAGCTGAAAGAGCACTTTCAGCAGATAAAAGGACCAAGGACCTTGAATTCCTTCCCCATTTGGTGTGGTGGTGTCTCATTTGGATGAATTCGTCTTACCTTCAGCCATTCCCCGTTCGGTGTGGTGTTGTCTCATTTGGATGAATCCGTCTTACCTTCAGTCATTCCCCGTTTGGTGTGGTGTTGTCTCATTTGGATGAATCTGTCTTACCTTCAGTCATTCCCCATTTGGTGTGGTGTTGTCTCATTTGGATGAATCTATCTTACTTTCAGTCATTCCCTTGATGCTGCAATTGTCTGTGCATAATCCTCTAGCAGGAACATCACTGCAGATGGCTTTTATAAAATGTCAAATAGTGTCTCTAACTTCTAATTTTAGAGCTCCCAGAGAGGGCTAAGCCCCAAAGTAGCTCAGTCTATGTCTGGAGTCCCACTAGGGTCTTGTGAAAAAAGTTCTTACCTAGTATATTCTTACCTAGTATAGTTTGTATATGTTTTGCCTCCAAATCGCACATTGAACTGTGATCCCCTGTGTTGGTGGTAGGGCCTGGTGGGAGGTGTTTGGGTCATGGGGCAGATTCCTCAGAAAGGGCTTGGTGCCGTCCTTGTGACAATGAGTGACTTCTTGCTCTATCAGTTTTCCTGACATTGATTGCTGAAAGCATCCTGGTGCCTCCCTCTTCTCTCTCTCCCTGTGTCTTGCATCCCCTCTTGCTATGTGATGCCTACTCTTCTTCACCTTCCGTCATGATTGGAAACTTCCTGAACCCCTCACCAGAAGCACATTTAACACTGATGACTAGTACCATGCTTCTCAAACATTTTTATAGTGATATTTTCTTGACACTTCTTGCATCACTGGGCTTCTCAAGCCTTTCTTTAAATATGAGTGTTGGCCACAGCTCTATCTTTAGACTCCTAATGTTTTCACTTGGCCACAATGGCCAATTAATTGTTGAAGATTCCAAAATCTATACCTCTAGCTTAGTATATTTTGCTGAAATAAAGACTCTCACACCCACATGTCCCCGGGTCATATTTATGTGCACATGCCACAGGTTGCTCAGATTTAGGACTTCTGGCCCATTTTTGATTCCGTCTCTTCATAGTCACATCCACATGTCCCATCAATATAACCAACTTCCAAAAAGTTCTCTCTCTCCACACTCCCCTTACCTTCACCACTCTTTAAAACAATGGCTAAATCCCACTAACCAATTTTATTACATCTGGTGTGACACCTCCCCTTCACCTTCCCAGCTGCTGACAGACTGACTTTTCTAAAACACAAATCTGTATCAGTCAATTTTCTTCACAGGAAACTCCTGCCTTCTTGAAGTCAGCCTAAATTTGCCCAGACCTCTCCACTGTTATCTCCTTTCACTCCCTCCATATGTATGCTTTCTCCAGCTGAATGGAGTTTCCTGCCACTCTGCAAGTTTTGGCATGATTTCCGCCTCTGTGTGTTCACACAGACCGGTCTTGGTGAACACTTGTTCCTGTTCTCAGGTCCCTTCATCTAACAAGTTCTCAACTTCCTTCAAATTCAGCTCTAGTGTCAAGACCACCTAAAGACTTCTCTGCACGTATCCACCTCTGTTTTTGCCTCCTGTTACGGTGCACCCTGTAAACGGCGCTATCATTACACTATTTCCTCCGGAGAGTGAGGCTGTAGTTTCATGATACTAGTTAACACATAGTACTTCACTTACGCCTCACAAGTAACCTAATAAGAAGAGACACTTACGATTATGCTCCTTTTACAGATCAATAACATGAGAGACAGAAAATTGAAAACAAAAAATTAACTAAGGCCACACACTAAATGGCCTTTGCACCTCACAGACCCTGCGCCCATCACAGACGCCGCGCCCCTCACAGACGCCGCGCCGCACCTCACAGACGCCGCGCCACACCTCAGACCCTGCGCCGCACCTCACAGACCCTGCGCCCTACATCACAGACGCCGCGCCACACCTCACAGACGCCGTGCCACACCTCACAGACCCTGCGCCCCACCTCACAGACGCCGCGCCACACCTCACAGACCCCGCGCCCCACCTCACAGACCCCGCGCCCCACCTCACAGACGCCGCGCCACACCTCACAGACGCCGCGCCACACCTCACAGACGCCGCGCCACACCTCACAGACGCCGTGCCACACCTCACAGACCCTGCGCCGCACCTCACAGACCCTGCGCCCTACGTCACAGACGCCGCGCCACACCTCACAGACGCCGCGCCACACCTCACAGACGCCGCGCCACACCTCACAGACGCCGTGCCACACCTCACAGACCCTGCGCCGCACCTCACAGACGCCGCGCCGCACCTCACAGACGCCGCGCCACACCTCACAGACGCCGCGCCACACCTCACAGACCCTGCGCCGCACCTCACAGACCCTGCGCCCTACGTCACAGACGCCGCGTAGCACCTCACACACCCTGCGCCGCATCTCACAGACGCCGCGCCCCACCTCACAGATTCACAGACGCTGCACCGCACTGCACAGACACTGCATTTTCATAGATACTGCATCGCACTTCACAGATGCTGCATTTTTTCTACACAGTGAAGGTTTATGGCAATTGTGTGTTTAGCAAGTCTATTGGCACAGTTGTTTTTTTTAAAACATGTGCTCACTTTGTTTCTGTGTCGTATTTTGGTAATTCTCTCAATACTTAAAACTTTTTTTGTTATGATTACATCTGTTATGGTGATCTGTGATCAGCGATTTTTGCTGTGGCTTTTCTACTTGTTTTGGGGCACTACGAACCATGCACATATGAAATGGCAAACTTCATTGGTAAATGCTGTGTGTGTTCTGTGTGCTCCAGTGACCGGCATTCCTCGGCCTCCCTCCCTCTCCACAGGCCCTTTTATTCTCTGACACACAATCATATTAAAATTAGGCCGATTAATAACCTCACAATGGCCGCTAAATGTTTAAATAAAAGGAAGAGTTGCACATCTGATTTTAAAATCAAAAGCTAGAAATGATGAAGCTTAGTGAGGAAGGCATGTTGAAAGCTGAAACAGACCAAAAGCTGGGCCTCTTGTACCAAATTGTTAGCCAAGTTGTGAATGGTAAGGAAAAGTTCTTTAAGGAAATTAAAAGTGCTACTCCAATGAACTCATGAATGATAAGAAAGCAAAACATCCTGGCTGGGCACAGTGGCTCACGCCTGTAATCCCGGCACTTTGGGAGACTGAGGCAGGTGGATCACCTGGGGTCAGGAGTTCAAGACCAACCAGCCTGGCCAACATGGTGAAACCCCATCTCTACTGAAAATACAAAAAATAGCTGGGCATGGTGGCAGACACCTGTAGTTCCAACCACTGGGGAGGCTGAGGCAGGAAAATCCCTTGAACCAGGGAGGCAGAGGTTGCAGTGAGCTGAGATCACACCACTGCATTAGAATCTGGGCAACAGAGTGAGATTCCATCTCAAAAAAAAAATAATAACAGAAAGCGAAACATCCTATTGCTGATATGGAGAAAGTCTGAGTGATCTCAGTAGCAGATTAAGCCAGTCACAGTATTGCCATAAGACAAAGCCTAATCCAGAGCAAGGCTCTAATTCTCTTCAATTCTATGACGACTGAGAGAGGTGAGGAATCTGCAGAGGCAAAGTTCCAATGTAGCAGAGGTTGGTTCATGGGGTTTTAGGAAATAAGCAACCTTCACAACAGAAAATGCAAGTTGAACTGGCAGGTGATGATGTAGAAGACGCAGCAAGTTACCCAGAAGATTTGGCTAAGATTATGGTGGAGGATGGCCACACTAAACAAGGTTTTCAGTGTAGATAACTCAAACAGCCTTCTAAAACAGCCCTCTAAAACAGCCTTCTATTGGAAGAAGATACCATCTAGGATTCTCAGAGGTAGGGAGGAAAACTCAATGCCTGACTCAAAGCTGCAAAGGGCAGGCTGACTTTCTTGTTAGGAGTTAATACAGCTGGCAACTTTAAATTGAAGCCATTGCTAATTTACTCTTTCAAAAATCCTAAGGCCCTCATGAATTGTGCTAAATTCTCTATGGATGGTCCCTAAATGAAGCAGCAAAGCCCAAATGACAGCACTCCTGTTTACAGCATGGTTTATTGAATATTTTAAGTCCACTCTTGAGACCTACTTCTCAGAAAAAACATATTTTTCAGAAAACATTACTACTCGTTGACAATGCACCAAGCCACCCAACAGCCCTGATGGCCCAATGGAGATGTATTAGGAGATTAATGTTGTTCTCATGCCTGCTAACACAACATATATTCTGCAGCCCATGGATCAAGGAGTAATTTCAAATTTCAAGTCTTATTATTTAAGAAACGTATTTCATAAGGCTATAGCTGTCATAGATAGTGATTTCTTTGATGGATCTGGGCAAAGTAAATTGAAAACCTTACAGAAAGAATTCACCATTCTAGATGCCATTAAGAACATTTGTGATTCATGGAATCATGGAAGGAGGTCAAAATTTCGGCATTAAAAGGAGTTTAGAAGAAGTTAATTTCAACCCTCATGGATGATTTTGAGGGGTTAAGACTTCTGTGGAGGAAATAATACACTTGTGGTAGAAATAGCAAGAGAATTAGATTTCTAAGTGGAGCCTAAAGATGTGACTGAAATTTGCAATCTCATGAGAAAATTTGAACAGATAAGGAGTTGCTTCTTATAAATGAATAAAGAAAGTGGTTTCTTGAGATGGAATCTCCCCCTGGTGAAGATGCTGTGAACACTGTTGAAATGACAACAAAAGATTTAGAATATTCCACACACTGATTTGATAAAGCAGTGACAAGGTTTGAGAAGATTGCTTCAATTTTGAAGGAAATTCTACAATGGGGAAAATGCTTTCAAATAGCATCGCATGCTACAGAGAAATCATTCAGGAAAGAAGAGTCACCCAGTATGGCAAATTGTATTGTTATCTTATTTTAAGGAATTGCTACAGCCACCCCCACCTTCAGCAACCATCAACTTCATCAGTCAGCAGCCGTCAATAATGAGGAAAGAGTCTCCCTCTGCCAGCAAAAAGATTATGACTCTCTGAAGGCTTAGGTGATGATTAGCACTTTCTAGCAAGAAAGCATTTTTAAATTGACATATGTACTTTTTTTAGACACAATGTTTTGCACACTTCATAGACTACAGTATAATATAGATATGATATTTATATGCATTGAAAAACCAAAAACATTGTGTGACTTGCTTTATTGTGATATTTGTTTACTGCAGTGGTCTGGAACAAGACACAATATCTCTGAGGGATGCATGTATTCTTCCATGGAAAAACTCCTTCAGGATTTTTGGTTTCTGGTTAGAAGGCACATAACATGTATTAGATGACTTTTTCTCTCTTTTGAATAGGCTAACAGGGCCATAATGCTGTCACAATAACCTACTCTTGCAGAAAATGAGAATTGTTCTAAGAAAGTCACTTCTTATTTTCGTGTCTTAACTATTTCAATTGAGAAATGAATGAAGAAAGATTTAGGAGAGAAACATTTTTCTAACATTTTAGAAGAGCTTTGGGGATAGTGGATAATGAAAGAAAGATTTCTAGAACACTAGCAGATTTGAAGATAAAAGTTGCTGGGAGATGCAAAGATGATAAGAATTTTACGCAAACAGCCCATTTAATAGCCATTTACACGAGTGGTCTAATTCTAAGAAGTGCATGAAGAAGTGCTTCGATTTAGCTCTTAACGTCCAAGTGATTATTTCAGGCCTTTAAAAAATACAAACTTGGGTAGAAAACAACAAAACAACTCATAAATATGTCACCTTTGCTAAAAATCAAATTCTGTTTCCTAAATTTAAAATGTAGTATGATTGGTTACTCTGTAAGGAAGCAAACAAAAAGTGCCAAAGAAAGCAGAAATCAGCATGTTTCCTAACAACAGAAATGGAGTTATAGAATCAAAAAAATAAGATCCTGCAGCTCATTCCATTTTCCAAATATTCAATATAGCTTTTAGCTACCAGATAAAATAGGAGTAGGAGATATATGTTTATATATTAAGTATTGTCAAAGAAAATATAGTAATTATAAACATATGTAAAAATATCCTTTGTTTATCATTTTAGTAAAATATTACATTGACCCAAATGTAATATTGCGTGTATGCACGGAAGTGAATTGCATTTTAAAAATCAACATAGATTTTTCCTACTATTCTTTAGGAACTTAATGACTTAGCTTGAATGAAGCTCTGTTTACAGACTATAATATTTTACTCAAATTAAAAGACAGCTTTTTACTTAAATTCTCTTCAATTAAGACCTATTATCAAGTAAATGATCTTTAGTTTTATTTTCTTTCCAATGCATTTTGGTTACCTACATCCATACTCAGGAAAAGGCAAGCTTTCTTATTTTCAAAATACAACCTTTTGTTTTAAAATAATTTAAGACCTAAAATAAGCCACACAAATAATACAGAGTTCCTATGTGTCTTGTACACAAATTCCTCTGGTTACAATTTCTCTCATATCAAACAAAATGACAGTTAATGCCAGGAAATTAACACTGGTGTGTACATACAATATATGTATACACATTCATAAGCTAGATGTAATATATTGAAGTCAGACAAATATGCAATACATAATGGAAGTCATTTCTGGTAATAAAGAAAAATGTACAATCTATGCATCAGTGCTGTAAAATACAAAACCAAATAGCTTGTGTAGCAAGAGGGCAAGCAAGAATTAGTCTTTGGGCAGAGGCCTCTGAGCCAGGTTCTCTGGGATATGTGTGTGTGTGTGTGTGTGTGTGTGTGTGTGTGTGTGTGTATATATATCTTCTCTAAAAATACAAATATATGATTATATATATATGCACACACAGTGTACACACATACAAGTGTATATATACACAATTGTGTACACACGTGTCTATATATACACTATATATGTATACATATATATAATTGTGTGTGTATGTATATATATTTTATTTATTTATTTATTTATTTATTTATTTAGATGGAGTCTTGCTCTGTTGCACAGGATGGAGAGCAATCTCAGCTCACTGCAACCTCCGCCTCTCGGGTTCAAGCAATTCTCCTGCCTCAGCCTCCTGAGTAGCTGGGACTACAGGCGCCCGCCAGCACGCCCAGCTAATTTTTTTTTTTTTTTTTGAGATGGGGTCTCACTCTGTCAGGCTGGAGTGCAGTGACGTGATCAAGGCTCACTGCAAGCTCCGCCTCCCGGGGTCAAGTGATTCTCCTGCCTGAGCCTCCTGAGTAGCTGGGACTACAGGCGCCGCCACCACGCCCAGCTAATTTTTGTATTTTTAGTAGATACGGGGTTTCACCATGTTGGCCAGGCTGGTCTCTGCCTCAGCCTCCCAAAGTGCTGGGATTATAGGTATGAGCCACTGCGCCCGGCCTTATACATTTTTTTTCAGATGTGATTGTTTTTCCCTTGAGATAAAAGTTAAATGGAAGAATAGGTAACAAATTACTTCAATTCACACGAAAATAAGAGAAATTTGATCTTTCTTTTACCATATAAGCCCCTTAACCTTCTGCTATGCAATTTATTTCACTTACCCACTGCAGAAACATTATTCTTATCACTATTAATCACGTTATTTTTGGCCATAACCCGGACACTTCCTTCCCTTTCAACTTCTTGCTGCGTGTCCACACCCTCTTCTCTGTCACACTTAGCCAGCATTCTGTCAGTACCTGGCTCAGGGGCCTCTGCCCCAAGACTAATTCCTGCCTGTCCTCTTGCTACTGAAACTATTCATTTGGTTTTGTGTTTTACAGCACTGATGCATAAGTTGTACATTTTTCTTTATTACTAGAAATAACTTCTATTATTTTTTGCATGTTTGTCTGATTTCTTGCAATAGATTATACATTGCAAAAATGTAGGAACCATTTCTTCTATCTCTCTTGAATTCTCCTAAGTGCACAATCAATTATGCATATGGTGAAGCCTAAAAGTGCTTGTTGAATATAGGCTGACTTTTGGCATTGGATGTAAATAGGGCAGTTATAGAAAGACATATTTGTTTTGAAGCCATTTCAAGAAACATATTTAATAGAAGTTTCTGGAATAATCCACATTCATTTAGAAAATATTACTCTTTGGCATAGACTTGAGAATAAATAAAAAGAGATCGAAAGTCGAGGGAAAATAGAATTAAAATGACCTGGAAAATTGAATCTACAGCTTTTGACCAAGATGCTAAAGAAAATTAAAGTCCAAAATACACGTATCTTAAAAATAGAAGGGAAAGTATAATAATCTGTTGGTAAAATGCAAAAACAAGAATAAAAACCCCAAACCCAAACTCTTGGAATATTCTTCCTGGGACTCCTGAAGACTGACATGTAAGAAGTCCAACTACAAGAATGCCCTTTGATGGGGTCCCATGTCAGCGTTTGGGTGGATTGTCCCACCTGAGCCCTGCCTTTCAGCCCTCTTGCTAAGTCCTCTGACAAGCAAACAGTACTGTGGTGGACCCTCCCAAGGAGGCCACACCTGCTGAAGATCCCAGGGCAATCCTGATCCACACCATGGGACAAGGATTGCTTTGTCAGGCCTTGTGCAAAATCCTGCTCACAATATTGTGAAAATAAAATGCTTGTAGTTTTAAGCCACTAAACTATGAGAAATAGTGGATATCAATTTAGCATAAGGTAGCAATGGAGTCCTTATATTAATAACAAACCATATTAAAAAGAATTTTATGATTGTTGCTGCATTACAGTAAAGACTAGGATATGAATATGTGTGCATATATATATGCATCATACATATGCATTTTTATTTTGCAGAAAATATTTAAAATAGTGCATAAAATCAGAAACCCTTAGTTGAGTGATTTGCTGTTCACTGTATTAAAATCAGGCAGTGACAGTAATAGTGAAATAGCTGCAAACAGATAAAATCAGTGGATTGAACCTAGAAAAGAAAATCAGGAAAATGTTCATCAATGTTGACAAATAGGCACTGTGTGAAGGGGCTTTAGACTGATTCCCTAAACGTCCACCAATATTGAGCATAATGGACCATGGATTTTTATATCCATGCCAAACTCACACACACATTTATGCTTATTTTATGTATTTATGTATTTATTTTTGAGACAGGGTCTCACTCAGTCATCCAGGCTGGAATGCAGTGGTGCAATCTCAGCTCACTGCAACTTTCACCTCCCAGGCTCAAGGAATCCTCCCATCTCAGCCTCCCTAGTAGCTGGGACTGCAGATACACACCAACATGCCCGGCTAATTTTTGTATATTTTGTAGAGATGGGGTTTCCCTATGTTGCCCAGGATGGTCTTGAACTTCTGGGCTCAAGCAATCTGCCCATGTCGACCTCTCAAAGTGTTGGGATTACAGGTGTGAGCCACTGCACCCAGCCTATACTTATTTTAATAGGCATTTTTGACCTTTAATTACACACCTCTCACACAGAGAACTAGAAATCCACTGGTCCTGGCTGTTTTCAGTGTGTTCTGAAAATCTTTTAAGAACTAAGGTTGTCAACTACATCTTTGGTTTCCCTGGGGCATTAGCTTTATCTAATATATATTAACTTTGTCCAAATTCAATGCTTCTTGTCATTACCTTGGGAATCTTATATCTTTATTCTGACGGACTCACCACTCCATGTGGTCATTTCTTCTTACTTGACAAAGTCTTTGCATTCATTTCTCATTTGGCTTGCAAGATAACAACTCTATTTTTGTTAGTTCAAAACAATAAATATCACTACTACTATCAGCATTAATATTTAGTCATTTTTATTTTATATCATATTATCAATTAGATACTTGAATTTGAATGTGACAGCATGGAAGCGACAGCAAAGACCATATGTTCATATAGATGGCAAGCAAAGAACCAGAAAGATCATGTGACTTGTCATGTCAAAGATCAAACAATTATCATACTGGAAAGCATATTCTAATGTTTAATTTAATTTTTAAAATTTAAATTATAAAGTGCTTTCTACATTTATAATAGTACAGAAAAGAATATAAACAAATCAATTGCTGAGGTATTTAATAGGAGATAATTGTCAATTTGTTTCAGATCTCTACCTTTAAGGAGGAAAAAAAGAAAGAGAAAGAATACTCATTTTTCGGCTCAATATTGTTTTCATAACACACTGCTGACTGTCTCACAGCTTGGAATTATTGCTGATGTTTACTCTTGTAAAAGGTTAATAGTAAGTTTACTTCTTAAAGGGCTTTCATCTGTTAGCACATTTGATTATCCCCATATACTTGGGAGACAGGGCATCTATTACAATCTGTGTTTTATAAACCAATGAGGCATAAAAATGTTAACAGATTTGCCAAAGATGTCAAAGTGATTCAAAGAGAACCAGCCAACCTCTGACTGCCAACCTGCATGAGCCCTGCTGCGCCTGGCTGCGTAATTCATAGAGTCATAGCTTAATATCTGAATATGAGAACACTATCAGGAGAAACACGTTTTGAATCACAGTTACAACTCCAATTTTTAAAGAATTTAAATCAATCAATAATTCTCCATCACGATAATTGCAAACTCATCTAGAAAATTGTAACATTCTCAGAGTGCGAAAAACTATTAAATGTTTATCTTAAACATAAGTTTATCCCTTTCTAAATCCATTCACATAGTATCTTTATATAATCATTCCAATAATCCTACAAAGCAGGAATTTGTGAGTGATTCTTTTACCAACGAGAAAGTGGAATAGCTGAAAATTCACGTTGATAGTGGCTTAAGTCAGTTGTCCCTGGTCTTGGCTGCACACTAGAATTATCTAGGGAGTGTCTAAAATTCTTAGGCTCTGCTCACATTGTATACCAAAAATATCAGAATGTCTGGGAGTCAGTTCCAGGCATCACTGTTTTAAAGAGCCTCAGGTAATTCCGGATTTCCAGTTTGAGAAGCATTAACTTAAGCAGCTGCTACACTGCAGTTACTTGGTCCTCCTCGTCTAGTGTTTCTTCCTCTACAGAATGAAAGTGCATCACAGATGATCCTTTATCTTTCCTGCAGATATCAGCTATAAGCAATTAAGAAACTATTTTACATTTAAGAAACTCTTTGCCCCTAATTTGGATTATTCCGTTCATGTGCGGTTAGAAAGAGATCCTTATGGAATGCAATCACTATGACATTTTTGACTCTATGTCAAATTGCAGGTGAGATGCCAAGGTAGCCACCTAAGGTGCTGGTCTTTAATAACTTCAGTTCTGGAAATAGCTCACCTTGTTCATGGCTTATGAATTTATTTTTGTTATGACAAAGAACAGAAACTTCTCTCTTTTTAACTTGGATTTTAAATCAAATGAAGAAACTTGGGACTCCCTCTGTACTTAAAAGACGGAAATAGGAAACTTGTGAACCAAAATAATAAACCTTGCTTTATCTACAAGCCACACATGCCAATGGAGTCTCAGATGAATCCCGGAGATCACAATACTTTCAGTTGCTGTGCTATGATGTGTCCTCGGAGGTACATCATTATCACCTGGGGCCCAGCTGGGGATTGCTTATTAACACTTTCCTGAGAAACCTCAGCTCATGTGGCTGTCTCATTCACAGATCATGAGGAGTGATTGGGAACCATGTAACCTGGACATTGTGTTCAAGAAACTGTATCATCATCACTATCATACAAATATTCACACACTAGGAATTGCACAGCCCACTTTCAGAAACAGGGACACACCATGCTCCCTTAATCTGGAACAAGAAATAGCAAGATCTCTGCTCTAGGCCTTCACCTCCTCAGAGAATATGGGTTTAGAAATGAGAAGCTGCTGAATTTGAATACCTTTATTTTCTACTATTATTCAGGGTCTCTGGTAGTAAACAAAGAAGTTTTGAATCTATACTATGCATAACCCAATCTCTCAAGAAGCTTCCTAGATTGCAGTGGCTTGATAAGGAAGGTAATATGTCGTACCAACACAAATAAATCATTTTTCTCTAAGCAATTCCAGAATAATTTGCCCAATTTTGCCACTTGACATCTTTTGGCTATTATATATTAGCAGGCTTCCCTTTTCTCATATTGCAAATATCATTAAAATCATCACGCACGTCATTGACCTTCTTATTTCTACATTGGAGAAGTCATTTAGATATAACTAGCACTGAATTAATTTGCTACTCAGACTAACAGTAAAGTTATTGAAAAGTGCTTTAAATGATTTAACAGTGCAAAGAAATGGATCCCCTAATTTTGATACCACAAATCTTATGTATTTTAATCAATCTAATGTTTTCATGAGTCAAATATTCTTCAATAGGAGAAAATTTTAACTGGCATTCATAAATAATTGTATGATATAATGAAACTGCTTCCAATGTCTTCCCTGATACAAGCTCACTTCTCAAATACCAGTGTGTAGACAAATGTTGTACATAAATAATAATTAAGTTTAAAATAAAATCAAGGTTTTCTGCACGGTATTTAATGTTCATATCCTTTTCTATGCAACTCACTTTGCCACCTGGTCCTCAAATGCCCCATATTAAGTGGGCACACATATAATGTTCAGAGAGCTTTGATTTTTCTCTGTTTTCATAGTGTTTAGTAAAAGACAAAATATATCTGATTTCAAAATGCTATTTTAGGCTCATGCTTGTAATCCCAGCACTTTGGGAGGCCAGGGTGGGTGGATCAGTTGAGATCAAGAGTTTGAGATCAGCCTGGCCAACATGGTGAGACCCCTCTCTACTAAAAATTCAAAAATTAGCCAGGCATGGTAGTGGGCACCTGTATTCCCAGCTACTCAGAAGGCTGAGGCAGGAGAATTGCTTGAACCAGGAGGCAGAGGTTGCAGTGAGCCAAGATCGGGCCACTGCACTCCAGCCTGGGCGACAGAGCGAGACTCTGTCTCAAAATAAATAAATAAATAAATAAATAAATAAAATATTACATTACAAGGCTACTATACTAATCTGTGATATCAACATTACTATCCTAATAAGCTGGTTTATAAACTAATTAATAATTTGGATTAAGATAGGATCACACATCTCCTTGCCTCACATTCCACAATATGACAAAAAAGATAAGTTTGAATATGGCAAATCCAGTGCAGAATGGGAAAACGATAAATAGTGTCATTAAGGCACAGACATTTTATAGGGTCTTTGAAAGGTAGAAAATGCACAGGGATCAAATCTAGGTAGAAATAAAATCAGAAGAAATATGTATCTAAAACAAGTGCTGAGGAAAGCTATTTTTAAAGCTACTGCTGGTGTGTGGAGAAGCTTAAGGTCTAGAATCGATGGCTGAAAGAAGTGGGAAGGACCATGGGAAATGTATCTTGATTAAGTGGGAGCTAAATTGAGAGGAGCTAGGTCATCTGACTTACATGGAAAATTATTCAAGTGAGCACTGGTAAAAGCATTCACGCTAAGCAGCAAATAGTGGTGCAATTACCCTCTGGTTATAACGGAAATGCAGGAACTGGAGCAGAGATCAAGACAATTCCCCAGGTAATTGCTGGTCACAGAAAGGGCAGGATCTCTCCGGCACAGGACCCAAGTCTCATCTTCCAGTTACCAGTTTAGACTTAAGTAAACATAATAGAAGGATGTAAAGAAACTGTGAAACATGAATATGAGTAGACAACCCCAAATACACAACATTGGAAGAAAATCAACACCACTGGAGGCGATGGATACTCCATATACCCTGATGTGATTATTATACCTTATCAAAATATATCATGTACACCATAAATATATATACCTACTATGTACCCACAAAAATAAAAATTAAAAACAAAACAACAAAAAAGCAAACCAATATCACAAAAAGTTGCCAATCTCAAGGACTAAGAAGGACTAAGATTCAGTGAAACACGTAAAGTCAATAGGGACTTGAGAAGAAGTGTCAGTAAGTGGTGTGTGTCTTCAGGGATATACAACAGGATACGTTCCTCATAATGAAGAAGCCATCACGTGATTTGGAAATTAAAATCTTTATTTTTTAAAGCTCAACAGATGCAGTAAATACCAGAATGGACAATCTGGAAAAGAAGATTAGTCAGCCAAAATGATTACATTTAAGAATTTTATTAGGTAAAAGGTGAAAGAAAAGAGGCACGTAAGTGATAAAGGACATAAAAGCTATATCCAGAAAGCTAACAATCTCTCTAATTGAACTTTGGGAAAGGAACATTGAAAGAATATGGGGGATGTGCAGGAAAAATAAGAGAAAGAAATACAGAATCCAAGTCCTTTGCTTTTTTCCTTTTAGTTCATTCTGAAAATTATCTTCTCTATATTAACATCTTCAGCATAGTTTGAAAACTTCAAATAATATTTATTTATACTCCTGATTGTTCTAGTTTTATAAAACAGTATAATGAACACAGTGGTAAAGCTGATATTTAGTTAAATTTCAGCAGTTTTATCTGCCTTCAGTTGACACTGTTATCTTGGTCTCAAAGGGCTGAATGTAGAATAATAGGCTGTCTTTAGCCAACACAGAGATTTTCATAAATTTCTCCAAATATAATCACAAACTTAAGATTCCAGGCAGATAAAATTATGATGGAAGGAAAAGAATAACTGGGAGTCCATCAATCAAACATAACCAATGTGCTGAGTAGAGAAATTTACATGCTACAAGGAGTGAAGACATTCATATCTTAACAAACACTTCTCTTTCTGCATCACGTAGTCTCATATTTTCATAAAATTAACAAATTAGCTTTTGCCCAAGGTAGGCAAGCTTTCTTTAAGACTCTTGAACCTGTTGTAAATATTTGTAAATAATAGGTCTCAATTTGTTTGTCCTGTGTCAATGATAAGTAACTTGTTATGCTTTCTTCTTATTACTGAAATCATGCTTAATATTTGATAGACTCTATCTATGGCAAATACTCCATATGGCAGCAAAGATCCATTCCTTCATTTGTGTTGTTAAGACTGGAAATGCCATTTCAAGTGTACGCACTAAGGTTTATAGCACAATAAAGATTTATTAAAACCACTCCACAGAGCCACGTTGTACAGAATTTATGAACTGTAAAACTGCTATAAAGGTCACTTGAGATGCAAAAGTTTAATTTGGAATATCATGTTATGGTACAGAATTGCTGCATTCAATGCTTGTTAATATAAATGGTTTAAAGATATTTGTCTCAGTCTGTGAAGTTTATGAACTTCAACAAAAATAATTTCATATTTTATAATATTTTACATAGATTTGATTTCTTTAAAGTTTTTCTACAAATCCATAACTCATCTCATCTGTAAAATAGTGAGGAAAATAGATACAAATTGGATCTTACTTTCAAAATTCACTGTTGTTTCATAGAGCATATTCCTTATCATTACTTAACCAACTTCTGACATTTACCATTTCATACCATTATTCATTCATTGCTTTTCTGATACCAAGAGCCTAAGGAATGGATAGCTTTTCAAGAGATATCACAAAAATGAACAAGATATTGAGCATTTATAACAGGAACATTGGGGAAGGCATTGCTAAAAGAGATTATGAATTATAATAGTGTCTGAATGTGTGATATTATATTTGTATATAGACAGATACATATAAAGTTACATCAACTCAAGTGAATACAATCTAAGAAAAGATTAATTATAGACAATTATAATTCTGTAGTAGGATGAATATCATACAATAAAAGTGTAATAAGATGCAAAGACAACATAAACAATAGGGAGCATTTTCAAAGTACATCTTCCAGCAATTTTTTTGTTGTAAAACAGTATAAACTGATTTTTCTATGTTTTGTTATGCATAAGAACCAATACTTTTTTATCAAAGATCAAGAATGTAGAAGCAGAATATTATGGAATGTATGTGAAACTTCTGAATAGCACCAGAACACGGCATAGCCATTCCCATGGCATTTACGTTGTAAATGTTAAACTATAAAATATTGTGCTCATCTCTCTATCAACTAAAACATTTGAAAATCATGGTTTCTTTTAATGTTAACCACAAAAGGATCATGGTATCATGTAATTCTATTCCTCCACTTTTTTATATAAGGATGGTAGAGATGTCCCCAAAATGTACAGGACTAGAACTTTCTGCCCACCATGAAAAAGGTATAGCTAACATGCTCTGCATACTTACGATTTACTGAGCATTTTATTAAATAATTCTTTGGAATTTTTCTCTTTCAACAACACTTTGTCAGAGATGATATTATTATTCATATCTTCAAGATGAGAAAAACTGAATCTTGGGGGTTTAAGTAATCTGCATAAGGTGACACAGGCACACAATAGTGGAGCTGACACTCAAACCCTTGAATGAACCACAAAGCTTATGTTCTTAATAATCCATTATCCTCTATTTTACTGCTTTCATGCTAGGACCAATTAGAGCAGCCCATGAGGATAGGCAAAACAATCACAGGTTATTATGGAAAATATAAACATTTCAACCGGAGAATTTTCTGTTCCCAAATATTCCAGACATGTGTCTACCTGAAGTTGTAGATCATGTACAAAAGAATGACAGAGTTCAGTTCATTCCTCCAGTTCTAGTGTTCACTGCACATAGTCTCCCTCTCACACAGCCCAGTGCACACAAACAGTGTCTTCATGCTTTAGTAGATCTCTCTTTCTTTGGTTTCCTATTCCAGGATCATGTTTCTCCATCAAACACAACCAACCCAACAAACAATACTTACCTTTCTGTTTGGAGAAACCCAGAATATACATATTATATAATTATATTAATATATATATAATAATATTATATAATTAATAATATTATATAATTAATAATATATATTATAATTAATAATATATATTATAATTAATAATATATAATTAATAATATATATTATAATTAATAATATATATAATATTATATAATATATAATATATATAATATAATTATATATAATGTATATTCTGAGTGTGTATACATATATGTGTGTGTATGTGTAGATAGATAATTATATAATTATATTATATATATTATTATATAATATAATTATATAATATTTAATATATATAATATATAATATATATAAAATATTATATATTATATGTATAATATATTATATAATATATTATACATATAATATGTATATTCTGAGTGTGTATACATATATGTGTGTGTGTGTATGTGTAGATAGATAGATACACTAAGAGGTCTATGATTCATGTCACAAACCCATCAGGGTCATATGTTGCTTCTAGAGAATGTGCTGTACACTACATCATTATGGGTCTCAATTTATCCCTACCTATACCCCACATTACCACTCTCTTTGAAATCTGATCCCATCTAATATTAGTACTCATTTCTGGAAGATATTTTTTGCTCCTCTTTGAACTGTAAAATTTCATTAAATTTTTCTCGCTAAAGTGTAAAACAATATCCATAGACATTTGTAAATGGAGTACATTTTTGTGCCCTCTTTGTATGCTCATTTTCACTGACCTTGCCTGCAGTATAGAGCTGTATAATGATACACCAAAATGAGTGAAGATAAGACAGATAAATTAGGAAGATTAAGATTATCTGAGACAGATCATCTCTGTAATTTAAATGATGAGCTTTAAAAAACTCTAGACAGAGGGTAGAATTGTTAGCAGTTAGTACACTTGCTCTGATTCAAGGAAATAAGTTTAACTCAAATATTCATAAATCAGAGTGGAGTTAAAGGGTTGTGGCATAAAAGCAGGGTGACATAGGAGAACTAACCCAATCACGGCCACGAGAAGAAGTTCTTCTCTAGCTTCTACCAAGTAATACTTCATCCTCATCCTAGACAGACGGGTATCCAGGCTATGCTAGCTGTATTGCTTTTATCATATACAATTAGTAGTGTGTATAGAACTTTACTTATGACATACTGTAAAGGTAACTATACTTATCCTCTAATTATAAATACATTTATTTTCAACTAGTCTTTAAGTTATATTTTTAAGGTTTGGATTTAAAAGTAAAACTTTAAAGTGTATTACAGTGAGGCACCAAATTTCCAGGAGCTAATTAATGATTTTGAAATGTGCCTGGTGTTGGCTGAGTCGACAGCAACACTCTATGGATGGGTGGTTTGTGGAGGAATTCTGACTTGAGAGTACAATAGCACTCAGCAATAAATCATATTAGTTTCAGTCAACTCTAGAGGCAGAACAGACCTAAGAACATACACAGCATAGCAGCTCCTGGGTGCTGCTGGAGGCCCTCATGACAGAGACAGACCAGTGGGATTGTTTCAAGCAAATTCTAATCTGTTTCTATATCCTGTCTGTATGTCTGTATAAATAAGATATAGATATGTCACTATCAAATATATTTCTCAACACAAATTTCATGCTTTCTTCTGTTTTTAAAACAGAGCTGTTGTAACTATTTAATTTACATAACTTTAAAGCTTCTATGAAGCTATTATTGTGACTGAATACACAGGCAAAAGACATAGTTGGCTCAAAAGAATCAAAATCCAATGGAAAAGAGTGTTTCTTAGACTATTCGTTTTAGATGAGAGTCTTAATTCATAATTTTACTGCAGAAATAATTTGGTAGGTTTAAGAAAAATGATACTAAAGGTTACTTTCTATCAAGAACTATACAAAGCATAAAAATTATATTTGTTGACCTGAAATCACAGAAAGATTAACAACCTAAAATTTCATATATAATACCATAATGTCTGCGCAATCCTGCAAACAGCTCTTTCCTCCTACCTGAGAGCAACTTGCCATACTGAGTGTCCAATACATTTTTTCAAGTGGTAAATTTATTTGTGTGTGTGTGCGTATGTACACAGGTGTGTTTATATAGTTTAGAAATAAAGTTTGCCTATATGGTAAACAATTTCTGCTAAGCCATATAGCTATGACCTATATTCATATTTTAAAAAAAACCCTTAGGAAAATAGAATACACAATTTGAACTTAGAGTGTTTATAGTTTCTCATACTTTCAAAATTCTCAGCATGGCTTATAGGACATTGCAGATTTGGTTTCTGTCTTCTTTTCCAACCACATCTCCTAAAACTCATTGTCCTCCACCCTTCATGCATTCTATACAGCTAAGTTACTTTTCAATTCCTTGAAAAGTGCCAAACACTTTCCTGCCTTAACTGTAGCACACATAGTATTGTTTGTGCTCTGAGTAATTTTCAAATATTTATAATATTCAGAATATTATATATATAATAAACAAGTTTGCTAATACGTGAGGGAATAGGACAATGTAAAGGATGACCAAAATGATTTATAAAATAATCAACATAACCATTAGAAGTTAAATATACAATCAAAATTTTAAAATAAGAGGAAAGATTTAATAGCAGATATGACATAGTTCAAGAGAAACTTAGTGAAGTGGAATAAGATATACAGAAATTATTCAGAATGCAGTGAAGAAAAACGAAAAGATGAAATGTAAAAGAGAGCTTAAGAAACATGGAAGAATGTGTGAGAAGACCTAACATACATATAATTGGTGATCCTGTTGGAGAAGAAAAAGGAAGAGAGAAAGAATGGGGCTGAGGATATCTTTGAAATTATAGGGACTAAAAATTTTCAGAAGAAATAAAAAAACACAAAGTTTAAACAGCTCCAATATGTACCCAGAAAGAGTTTAAAATATCAACACAAAAAGAGATCATAATGAAGGAGTAAACAGAGAAAGAAAATATATTAAAATTAGCCAGAATTAGAAGATTGTTTCCATTCAAAGGAGCAAGAGTTAAACTAGAAGCTGGCATTTTAGCAGAAGTAACAGAAGTCTGAGAGATACCTTCATTGCATTGCAGAGAATAACCATTTACCCAGAGCCTTTACCAGGAACCAAGTGTCTCTCAAGAATGAAGTCAAAATAAAGACATTTGTCGGGAAAACAAACTGATAAAACTTATCAACTGCAAACTTTTTCTAAAGAATATTTTAAAAAATGTACTTCAGGCACAAGGAAAGTAAATCCATAAGGAAAATCTAACAAGAAAAAATGAAAAGCAAAGAAATTAATAGATATATTTTAAAAATTAGATTATAAACGATACAAACTACAACAATAACATTTTGGGAGATTAGAAAAATGGAATTAAAGTATGTGTCAACAATAGCACATTCATTGAGAAAAGGTTGAATGAGTTAAATGCTCTCTATAGTTCAAAACAATAGAACAAATGTTCATTAAATTTAGATTTTGTAAAGTGAACAACCTACAATCATCAGTATAACACTAAAAGTCTGAAAAATGGAACAATTAACTTCTAAACTTATAGAGGGAAAAAATGAAATGAGAAATAAAAATACCCAATTGTAATTGCAATATTAAAATAAAACACTTATTTTTGTAATAGGCACTGCTATAAGAGCTTTATCTACATTAACAAATGCAAGCCTCCACTGTCACAGTTTTAAAAATATATAAGGAATATTAAAAAGAAAGGCAAGATAGAAAAAAACAAAGCAACGATAAGTATGAAAAATAGAAATTAAAAGATAGTGAATAGAAATTCAAATATATCTGGAGCAACAAAACTGTAAATGCACTAAATGATTCAACTAAAAAACTAAGATTGTCAGACTATACTAAAGCACAAACAAGAAACTGTGTAATGCAAAATTGTACATTTTACCTGAGACATCTTAAATTAAAAGATACAGAAGGGATTTTACAAAAATAGAAAAATTTATACTAGTAACATTTTTACTAAAACAGAAGTGGCAGAAATACATTATCAGGTAATATAGACTTTAAGAAAAAGGCTTGACAAAAATAAATATGACCATTTCACAATCCCAACATTTAATGTGCCAGTAAGGTGTATCAATTTAATGTGGAGCACTTAAAAACAAAGCTACAAATGTGAAAAATTGAAAACTAAGAGCAGAATTAGTATGATGTACAGCAGGAAAAATTTGAGTAAAATTTTTGAGTGTTACATAAAATAGCCAAAAATCACTAAGAATATAAAAATTCACTAAGACTGTAGAAAGTTTGATAAACAAGACCAAAAAACTTGACTCAATATGTATAAAATATTGTGCAAAATAACTAAAGAATACACATCCTTTAAGCCCATGGGGAACATATAAAATTTGACTGTGGTGAACCATAAAGGAAGCCTCAATGATTTCAGTATTTGAAATCCTGCAGCTCCTATTAAGCTCAAATCAATAACAAAAAGATCACTTAAAAAATCTGCGTCTGTCTGGAAGTTCAGAAGCATACTTTTACGTCACCCAGACAGTTTTTTAAAAATTATCATTGAAATTAGATTACATTTGAATTAAGTAATAATTAAAATATAATTTGATGCTATTAAATTACAATAATCCTGCATATGTAATCTTATAGATGTGGCTAATGTAATTCACAAAGGAAAATGTTAAGCCGTTAGTGCTAATATTAGATCCCCATAATATACTATATGTCAAACAGGCTCTCCTGGAGCTGCCTACATTTTTTTCAACCCCTAAAATCACAAAAGTAGTTCCTAGAAAGTCATAAAAGTGACCTTAACATGCTAGCAATGACAATTCCATTTATGGATTGGATATTATGTGCCATTCAACAAGTGTGGGGGAGATTGCTGTTTGTTCTACTAAATGTCTGTTCTTCCCTCTTGTCTTATTAATAGGACTCTAACTCTCTCTCTTTTTTTTTTTAGCAATAGGTTTTCAGTATAAAGACTCTATTTTCCACCATCCCTTGCCATATGTTTGGACCCTGTACTTAAGTTGAGGCCAATGGGTTGTGAAAGTATTGAGAAGGAGCTTGTGGAAAGCCTTAAAAAAGAAATCTCAGCTGGTGTGCACCCTCTGCATGTCTAAGTAATTCTGATTTAACTGCTGGAGCTGCTGTCTTGACCCATGGCCATGAAAGTTATTTCTAGGGACAGCAGAGTGCTGATCTGGAAGGAACCTGGGGCCTAGCAACTTTGAAGCCAGCATGCCCTGTACGCTTACATCTGTACTTTGTATAAGAGGGAAATAGGCTTCTGTCATAATTAAACAGGTATTTTTGGTTTTCTGTAAATGTAGTCAAATCTAATGGATATATTATGCTCTGTGCTTCACATATTTTATTTAGTCTTTATGCATGCTCATGAGGTAGGAATTACTATGCCTATTATGTTTATTTTACAAATTAGGAAATAGATATTTCAATTTTCATTTTAATTTCCTGGAGTTAGTAAGCAGAAGAGCTGAGTTTTGAATCTAGGTCAGTCTGGCTCCTGCCTTATGTTTTCATGGGCTAATCTGTGAGGTTTTATATAATCATGCATTCTGGGGACCTTATCAGTGCCTGAAACACTGCCTAGCTCTCTGTATACTACCTTATATGCAGTGGATTTTAGTAGGTATTTGTTATTCAAGTCATCTACCGCCATGGGTTGACAAGGCTTAGGCAGAGGGAAAGGGGTATCTGTGGGGAAAGGGAGTGTGGAGTAGGCAGATATCACTGCCTCTCCTCTCACGATGAAAGGGCTCCCTAAACATGTGATGTCAATTCACTTAGGTACAAAATCATGGCAAAATTACAACAATAGTGGTTGGATGAAAAGAAGGATAAAGAAATGACAACACAATAAAGGAAAAAATGCCCTGAAAAATGAATTAAAACTGCCAAGTTCTTCTTGTACCCATAGAATATTTGTCTTTTTAAGAAAATTTTAACTCTTGGCTGATTTTCAACTTCCAAAAAATTAGATCTTTTTTTTAAGTACTTTGTTGTGTACTTAAAACTTTAAAAATAATATTGCAGATAAACATATCTGTGTAATCTCTACCTCTAGTCAAAGGAGTAAAAAGCTAGAAGAAAAAAAAAATAACCCACACAATGAGAATGTGAGAAGTGACAATAGCAAAGTAATTATTTCAGTGAAACTGCAGAAGATGGAAAACAGGAATAAAAATGTTTTCTCACTTACCAGAAGAGAGGAACTTTCAACTCTTGGAAGGAGGGTGCTGACAATGCCCAAGCCTCCATTCTGGAGAAGCCATGGGATCTCAGGTTTCTAGCATCGGGGCACTGCAAATAGAGACTCAGAAGCAAAGGAAGCTAGAGGAAAGGCAAAAAAAAAAAAAAAAAAGTCATCGAAACAGAAAGAATTGCAAAACAGAGAAAAAGGACAGAGAGCAAGAAAATGCTTTAAAATAAAATATGAACAATTTGTACTTTATTTTTTTTTTAAATTAATTAACTTTTTTTGAAATGGAGTCTCCCTCTGTCACCAGGCTGGAGTGCAGTGGTGCAATCTTGGCTCCCTGAAACCTCCGCCTCCCGGGTTCAAGCCAGTCTCCTGCCTCAGCCTCCCGAGTAGCTGGGACTACAGGTGCCTGCCACCACGCCCGGATAATTTTTGTATTTTCAGTGGAGACAGAGTTTCACCGTGTTAGCCAGGATGGTCTCCAACCCCTGACCTCGTGATCCGCCTGCCTCGGCCTTCCAAAGTGCTGAGATTACAGGTGTGAGCCACTGCGCCCGGCCAATTTGTACTTAAAAAAGTCAATATCCGTGAGACATAGTGCCTGTCCATTATGTTCTTCAGAGAAAAATAGAAGAACTGAAATATAGAAATTATTCAGAAAAACACACAAATTTCCCATTACCTAAAAATCTCCAGACTGAAAGGACGCAGAATGCCCAGGACAATAAAACAACGAAGACTGTCTCAGGAACACATCCTGGGATTTCAAAACACTAGTGATGAATTTAAATCCTCTAAGTTTGCAAGCACTGGCAGTGTTGGGGGCAGGGCGCATTGCAGAACAATGGCGTGCAGAATGACGTCAGAATCTGCGCCACCATAACTGGATTCCAAAATGGTGGAGCCAAGCCTTCAATCCCTAAGGAAAAGTACTTTTAATCCAGAATTCCACATGCATCCATACCATCATTTAAGTGTAATGAGAGAGTAGAAGTATTTTCAAATATCCTAGGGTTAAAATGCATACAACTCTTATGTTATTATAGACTATGCTTTAGAACAATTATTAAGGCAAGTAGACTTTGGGAAAGAGAATATCCAACAGAGAAACCGGCCCAATATTAGAATAGATTAGTATAGATGGGAACAGTGGGTACAAGAGGGAGGTCTCCAGGAAATGAAAAATTCATGAACAGATTAGTGATATGAAAAAAATTGAGAGTAGCTTGATGATGACTTATGAGGTGAATAGTGATAAGTATGTAGAAAACGAAGTGGATGGAAAAACATTAAACAATTTAATAAAGTGAAAAGTAAAATGATGGTCTATAAAATAATATTTATGGTTTATATTAATGAAAACACTGTTTCTTGCTTAAACCAAAATGTTATGATTTTATAATATTGAGCTGTGTGAAGAAGTTGTGGGATGGCATCAACAATTTTCAAAAAAAAAGTGAATAGATGATGTTTAAATTGATCATTTGTTCCACAGGCACATGATTTTAAAATATGGAGTCACCACACCTTGAATATTCAAAACTTTTTAAATTGCTTTGTAAAAAATGTGCAAGACTTACTGTACTACAGTTCAGCATGGTAAATGGTTTTGCAAAAAGCAATCAATTCTGATTAATTTTCTCATTTGCATGAGTGCCAATGCATTTTCTTTCTCCCTGTGAATCACCACTCAGTGATACCATTGACTCTCAGAGAAAACCACTTAATGAAATTTTTCATCGAGTCAATTCTTTGCTAATAATGAAAGAACATATTGTCATGAGCCAGGCATGCATGCTTTGCCAAAATACTTCCCTCCATCATATAGGCCTTAGTTATCCAGGACACAAAAATGAATTCCTAGTAGAGTCTAATAATTTCATTCTACTGATTCATTCCTACTGTCAGTAACCAAAGACAGTTTTACAAAAACAACAGTTACCCACTGAGAAGGCGTAATACATAGCTCTTTTTCCCAAGAGTTTGCTAATGAATGCAACTGTGATATGATTTTACTTAATTATGATAATTTAGACATGACCCATAAGAAAACTACTGATTTAAGGAAAGCATTAATTTAGTAATATATAAAAATGTATGTTGATGAGAATAAGCTTTATATGTAACACACCTAACCAGAAAGGAAATTTTTCTAACATTATCATTTGATATGTTTGTCAGTATTTTTCCTATGTTGAAAGATCAGAATTCGAAGAAATGTAACTGAGAAATTACACTTCCTTGAGTATTTATTTCAGTGCCGAGATAATTTAATTTTCAGTTTCTACTACAAGTGGTAGTAAAAAGAAAATTTTATACATTTTCCTATAAACATTTCCTATATTATTTTCTATCATTTAGTTTAAAATGATGCAATCAGAAAAGGAAGTGCTCCTCTAATTGCCTCTTACTATTTTTTGGAGCCAAATTTTAAGGAAACATTTTTGTTTATATCTCATCTTGACTTCATTTTATTTTTATTTAAATACATTCATGGTGTATTTCTTCCATTGCACAGAGCATGGATGTCTCCTTTTAGAAGCTTTATTTCAGATGGGTAAAATCTACTTTATAAAAGGTAAGGTCACACAGCTATGTGGCTGGAAAGAAATGGATAGGTACATGTTGCTGGGAGGTACGTGAAAGAAGGACGAAAGAATTGCCAATTACTTTATTCTTCATTTAAGTTATTTTATAACAATGATATGGTTTTGCCTTGTTTTAGGCATTGGTTAGGGTTCTTCCCCTTGAAAGCGATGACCTATACTGGCAATGAAAATAAATTGTTAAAATCTGACATATTTGAGAAGTACTGATAGACCTTTATTTATTAATGCCCACTAGTGACTTATAACAAATGTGAAATTGCATATTTAAAGAAATAAACATCATATATGTAAAATGAGAGCTATTATGTGCTGTCTGGGTTCCATAGCTAACATTCTTTAGTCTTTGTCTTAGAATAGAAGAAAGAAATGGAATTCTAGAGCACACAACTAGTTTAGAGGGGTATTAGTGAATTAAAAGAAATCACTCACAAAAGTATATCCGATGTGTTTGGAGTCTTTCATTCTTTCCAGGTTCGGATCAACTATAAAGCTTGTGATCAACTCTTTCCCTTAGCTGAGTCTTCCTTACTGTGATCTCTTCCCAAGGAGGTATACTAAGAATTATTTTAGTGGCTCTTGAAGGGTAGGGTAGTGGGAATGGTTAGACCAAATCTGGCCAGTAAGGGGTGAATTGTCTGAAGGTAATTTAAAATGAGTAACACCTGCTAAGTGCCAGCCAGCTTCTTTGTATCATCATGCATTGGCAATGCTCAACAATGCCGGTGATAACGCACTCCTCCCTCCAAGGCAGATGCTCCTCACTGCCCTGCTCTTGTACAGCCAAGTGACAAATAATTGGAAAAAAAATACTAGAGCTGAACTATCTACATGGATTTTAATATCAGACTCCTTTTCAAGTTACATAAAAGCCTGCCTCTAGATTCTCACTTATTAGACACTCAACAAAAATATGATGGACTACTATGCCTGGTATTGTCCTCAATACCGCAGACACAAACATAAACCAAAGCTCCTGGTCTTATTTATTTGTATAAGACAGAGGGAGACAAAAAAGAAGTAAACAAGTAAATACGTAGTGTTGGAAGATCATGTTTAACTGAAGAAAAACAAAGTAGGGTAATGGCATAGAAAATACTATAATAATAATGTGTATGAAGCGATTTCTGAAGAAATTGACAATGATAGACAATTGATAGACAATGATCATAAAAGATCTGGGACCACAGATAACAGGACATTTAAGCAAAGACCTGAAAGAAATGCAGGATCGTGTGGCTGATTGATATCGGGCGAAAGGGATTTTCAGGCAGAGGGAAGAGCAAGAGCACGGTGTTGACATGTGAGCATTCCAGGTGTGTTTCAGGGAGAGGAAGGAGAACTGTGTGCCAAGCTGAGCCAGCAAGTGAAGGAACTGGGGGACCAGGACACAGAATCGGCAGCAGGGTGGTCAGCCAGGCTTCATGTCATGTTTATCACTCTAGATGGCATCAGAAGCCATTGAAAGGTTTTGAGGAAAGGAGTGAAATCATGTGCCTTCTGTTTTATAAAGGTCAGTTGTATATATGTTTTGTAGGTTTTACGAGAATTCTGGCTAGTGTGTCGAGTATAAACTTTAAGAGGCGAGGGTAAAAGGCCATAGGAAACTATTGTTTGGAGCTCGGCTGCCTGTTTTGAGAACCCCTAGTCACATGTCACTCTTGAACACGTAAAACGTCACGTGTCTGAATTGAGATGGGCTCTAGGTGTGAAATTCACAACAGATTTCCAAGACTTAATATGAAAAGGAAGTAAAAGACCTCAATAATTTTTAAAATTTAGTAAATGATGAAATAACATTTTGAATACTCTGAGTTAAAATACATTATTAAAAGTAACTTGGCCTGTTCCTTTTTTCTTTTTAATGTGGCTACCTGAAAATTGTATGCTACACACCTGGCTTGCATTATATTTCCAGAGAGAAGAGACCAGACTCTGGATATATTTAGAATGAACAGCCAAGAGAATGAATTAAAATAAAGTTTGAAAGCATAGAGTCAAGGATGAATACAAGGTTTTTTGTCTGAGCAACTTGGAAGCTAAAGTTGACATTTTAAGATCAAGATGAGAAGATTAAAGGACCAGATATAGGAAGAAAAATCAGAAGTTAAGTTTTGAACATGTGAAGTCAAAAACTTTTATGAAATCTGAAAAGACAGGGCTGTATTTTATGCTCATCTCATTATCACACTTGGCCTCCACTTTTACATCAGAGAAACTTCACATCCCCTCACAGTCTCCCCAGGTATTTTTGTCTGCTCTTGCTTTGTTGTAAAGGTGGCATGTTACTCTCTCAACTGCAAATGCCATCCCTCTACTCTGAGCCCTCACGGCCGAGGGGGTCACAGTCTGTGGAACAGTGAGACAACAGGGTGGCATTATGTGTGTCAGAGCCTCACAACGGTTTCTATAAAACCCTTCTGTAGGATACAGTCCACAGTTTTCTATTACTGGAGCTCAAAGGTGATCTATTAGGACAGGCAGGGCAACAGTGTGCTATGTTATTGTATGTGAAGGTGAGTCCGGTGAAGCCACAGTAGAGGACATCAGAAAGGTGCAAGGAAACCCAGATTATCACACACACAAGCCCTAAGGTCAGGAGGCACCACAGGCCACCTGGCTCTGGATGAGTAAAGGCAAAGGAATGCGGCCTCCTGGGGTGGAAGGGCACAGAGGCAGGGCTCTGGATGGATCAGTGTGCACAGGAAAGGCACACTCCACTCTGAGTGCTGGGACATCTCTGCAATTGCCTAGCCCTGGAAGGGGCATCACTCCCAGGCCAGTGATGTGAAAAGATGTGAAAAACATCATAATATACAGAAAATAAAAATATATGCAAAACACAGATCTATTACCATCTTGATGTTTACTTTAGGCATGCCCAAGTGTCCATGAACAGAATTATAACTGTTCTTCCAGTCTCACCTGCAAAGACCAAGTATATCAAAAAACGCACACACGTACACACACAAATACACAGACAAGGAAGTACACACACAGAAAGAATTACAAGGACAAGAAGCTACACAAAAGAAAGCACACATAAAAGGAAGCAGATTACAAAAAGCACACACAGGGATGCACACACACACGGAAGCACAGACAGAAAAGGACACACAAAGGGACGCACACACAGGGACGCACACACAGGGACGCACACAAACAGGGATGCCCACACAGGGACACACGCAAACGGGCACACACACAGGGACGCAAACAGGGATGCACACACAGGGACGCACACACAGGGAAGCACACACAGGGACGCACACACAGGAAAGCACAGACAGAAAAGGACACACCCTGGGACACACACACACGGATGCGCACACAGGGACACACACATAGGGAAGCACAAACAGGAGGCACACACACAGGAAAGCACAGACAGAAAAGGACACACAAGGACGCACACACAGGGACACAAACGGGGATGCACACACAGACACACACACAGGGATGCACACACAGGAGGCACACACACAGGAAAGCACAGACAGAAAAGGACACACACAAGGACGCACACACAGGAATGCACACACAGGGACGCACACAAAACAAGGAAACAGACACAGGGATGCACACATAGGGAAACCCAAAAGGCAGCATACACAGGGACACACACACAGGGGAGCACACACACAGGGACACATACACGGGAGCACACACACAGGGACACACACACAGGGAAGCGCGCACACAGGGACGCACACACACAGGGAAGCAGACAGAGGGAAGCACACAGAGGAATGCACATACAGGGACGTACACACAGCAAATAACACACAGAAGGACGCACACACACACGGACACACACACAAGAAGCACAGACAGGGACGCACACACATAGGGAAGCAGTTCCACAGTGAAGCATACACAGGGAAGCACACACACAGGGAAGCACACACACAGGGAGTCACACACACAGGGAAGCAGACACACAGGGATGCACACACACAGGGAAGTACACACAGGGAAGCAGTCCCACAGTGAAGCACACACAGGGAGGCGAACACACAAAGGGAAGCACACAGGGATGCACACAGGGACGCACACACAGAGGGATGCACACACACAGGGAAGCGCACACAGGGAAGCACACAGGGAGGCACACACACAGGGAAGCAGACACACAGGGAAGCACGCATAGGCACACACACAGGGAAGCAGACACACAGGGATGCACACACACAGGGAAGCAGTCCCACAGTGAAGCACACACAGGGAGGCACACAGGGACACACAAAGGGAAGCACACACACAGGGACACACAAAGGGAAGCACACACACAGGGACACACAAAGGGAAGCACACACAGGGACACACGCAGAGGGAAGCACACACACAGGGACACACACGGACGCACAGACACGGGCGCGCACACACAGGGACGCACACACAGGGACACACAAAGGGAAGCACACACAGGGACACACACGCATAGGGAAGCACACACACAGGGACACACACAGGGACGCACAGACACAGGGGCGCGCACACACAGGGACGCACACACGGGCGCGCACACACAGGGAAGCACACACACGGGGAGCACACACACAGGGACACACACACACACAGGGAAGCAGTCACACAGGGAAACACTCCCACAGTGAAGCACACACAGGGACGCACATACAGTAATGGGCACATTGTATGGGTCCCAAGCTCTTCAGCAAAGCCCAGACTTTAAACAGTAATAAAAAGCTCCACTGAAATCCTTCGTTGCATTTGGTTGAAAGTTTTTTTGTATATTTCCTCATCCTCCTCTGCTGGTGGTTTTGTCTTCAGCAGAGGTGTTCCCTCCTGTATTCTATGCTCCAATGCCACAGAAGATGAAACCTACATCAAATGACCCTGATTCCGTAAAGTAAGCGTGAGGCTGAGAATCTGTAAAGCTATTTCCAATGCTTCAAATGATGCGAATATGTAACCTCCTTTCAAAAGATATATAGATAACCCTCCATTTGGATTTTTGATACATTATCTTAATTTCCATTTTTGTTAAGAGCAGCAAAAAGTATTTGCGACTATCAAGAATGGTTTACATCACAAGACTTTAGTAACTAAAATATATGAGCTATATTTCCATTTATGTGTCTCAGACTTTAAATGTGGCAAAATGTGTTGTAATTGAAGCTCCGATTTTGCCTCCTTGTCAACCGTGATTTAACAGTAAGGGGCCTGCTAGCTGTGGGTTAGCATGGAAATTAACTCACCTTGCAGGCACTTTCCAGTGAAAAGAATTACAACGCAAGTAGTAGACTGAATATTTAGTTCATTAGGAGCAATACTGTTTGAAATTCCTATTCTTTAGTTTTCATGATGACATGACTTATTTAAAATATGGTTTAAGAAAAAGTGACAAAAATATTTTAATTTTTTCAGTTCACTTAATTCATGTTAATCTTATAGCAAACAAACCACTTGATTCCTGGAGCAATTATTTGCTCATTGCAAATATTTGAGTAGATGTTAGATTATAGTTCACATTTCAGTTTTTTAGTTTAATAGACTTTTTTAGAAGAGTTTTAGGTTTACAGCAACATTGAGAGGAAAGTAGAGAGATTTCCTGTATACCCCCTGCCACCAGACATGCATAGACCCTCCCTTTATCCACGTCCCCCCACCAGAATGGTACAGTTGTTACAATTGATGAACCTACTTTGACACGTAATTTTCACTCAAAGACCATAGTTTACATTAGGTTTCGTTGTTGGTGTTGGACTTTCTATAGGTTTGGAAAAATGTGTAAAGACTTGTTTCCACCCTTAGAATATCAAACAAAGCACAGGCATACCTCATTTTATGGCACTTCACTTTACTGTATTTCTCAGACATGACACTGTTTTATGTGTTGAAGGTTTGTGGCGATACCACGTTGAGAAAGTCAAAGGTGTCCTTTTCCCACAGCATGTGCTCACTTTGTGTCTCTGTTTTGTATTTTGGTAATTTTCACAACATTTCAAACATTTTCATTGTTATTGTATCTGTCACGGTGATCTGTGATCAGTGATCTCCGATGTTACTACTGTCGTTTTTCGGAAGTGCCACAAACTGCATCCATATAAAATAACAGAATTAATGAATAAATATTGAGTGTGTTTCAAATTCTCCACCATCCAGTCTTTCCCATTTTTTCCCTCTCCTCCAGCCTCCCAATTCACTGTGACACAGAAGTATTGACTTTAGGCCAGTTAATAACCCTCCAATGGTCTCTAAAGTGTTCAAGTGAAAGGAAGAGTCACACATCTTTCACTCTAAATCAAAAGCTAGAAAATGATTAAGCTTAGTGAGAAAGACTTTTTGAAAACTGAGATAGGCTGAAAGCTAGGCCTCTTGTGTCCAACAGTTAGCCAAGTTGTGAATGCAAATAAAAAATTCTTGAAGGAAATTAAAAGTGCCACTCTAGTGAACACACAAATGATAAGAAAGTCAAACAGACTTATTGCTGATATGGACAAAGCTAATGGTCTGGATAGGAGACTAAAATAGCCAAAATCTTCCCTTAAATTAAAACCTAGTCCAGAACAAGGCTGTAGTTCTCTTAAATTCTAAAAAGTTTGAGAGAGGTTAAAAAGCTGAAGAAGAAAAATCTGAATCTAGCAGAGGTTGGTTCATGAGGTTTAAGGAAAGAAGTCATTTTTGTCACATAAAAGTGTGAGGTGAAGCAGCAAGTGCTGATGTAAAAGCTGCAGCAGGTTGTCCAGAAGATCTAGCTCGGATCATTGATGGAGGTGGCTGTGCTAAACAACACATCTTCAGTGTAGACCAAACAGCCTTCTATTGGAAGAAGATATCATCTAGGATGTGAAGAACTACAAAGGAAAAGTCAATGTCTGGCTTCTAAGTTTCAAATGACATGTTGACTCTCTTGTTAGGAGTTAATGCAGATATTGATTTCAAAGTGAGGTTGGTGCTAATTTACCCTTCTAAAACTCCTGAGTCCCTCAAGGATTATGCTAAAACTACTCATCCTTTGCTCTGGAATTGAAACAACAAAGCCCAAATGACAGCATTCCTGTTTGCAGGATGATTTACTGAATATTTTAAGTGCACCATTGAGACCTATTGCTCAGAAAAAAAATTTTCAAAGGATTACTGCTCAATGACAATGCACCAAGTCACTCAATAGCCCTGACAGCCCAGTGAAGATGTATTAGATTAATGTTGTTTTCACGCCTGCTAACACAAAATATCTTCTGCTGTCCATAGATCAGGGAGTAATTTCAAATCTTAATATTTAAGAAATATATTTCATAAGGCTACAGCTGTCATAGACAGTGATTTCCTTGGTGGATGTGAGCAAAATAAATTATAAACCTTGTGGAACAGATTCACCATTCTAGACGCCATGAACGCTTGTGATTCATAGGAGGAGGTCAAAGTATCAACATTGATGGGAGTTTGGGAGAAGTTAATTTCAACTCTCATGGATGACTTTGAGGGGTTTAAGACTTCAGTGGAGGAAATAACTCCACATCTGGTAGAAACAGCAAGAGAACTAGATTTAGAAGCGGAGCCTGAAGATGTGACCGAATTGTTGCAATCTCATTAGAAAACCTGAACAGAAAAATAGTTGTTTCTTGTGGATGAGCAAAGAAGATGGTGTCTTGAGATGGAATCTCCTCCTGGTGAAGATGCTGTGAACATACCTTTAAAATGACAGCAAATGATTTAGAATATTTCAGAAACTTAGTTGACAAGACAGCATCAGGGTTTAAGAGGATTGACACTAATTTTGAAAGAAGTTCTATTGTGGGTTAAATGCTCTCTAGCAGCATGGCATGTTACAAGGAAAGCTTTCATGGAAGAAAGAGTCAATTGATAAGGTAAATTTCAATGTTGCCTTATTTTAAGAAATTGCCGTAGCCACCCCAGCCTTCAGCAATCATCACCCTGACTAGTCAGCAGGCATCTATATCAAAGAGTTGCTTCTTATGGGTGAGCAGATGAAGTGGTTTCTTGAAACGGAATCTACTCTTGGTGAAGATGCTATGACTCTTCACAAGCAAAAAAGTATGACACTGAAGGCTCAGATGATCATTAGCATTTTTAAGCAATAAAGTACTTTTAAATTGTAGCATGTACAATGTTTTCCAGACATAATGATATTGCACACTTAATGGACTACAGCATAATGTAAACATAACTTTTATATGTACTGGGAAAGCAGAAAATTTGTGTGACTCATTTGATAGCAATATTTGCTATATTGCAGTTAACCTGAAACTGAATCCACGATATATTCAAGGAATGTTTGTAGCTCCACTGTCCTAAAAATCCTCTGCACTCGCTGCATACCACCTATTCATCCCTTCATTCTCAGTATTCCCTTGGTGCCTACTTATCATGTGTGTGTGTGTGTGTGTGTGTGTGTGTGTGTGAGGGGTTGGGGGAGAGAAAGAGAGAGAGCGAGAGAAAGAGTACTGTGTTTCTCTATATGTGATGTCTTAGTAAACTCACTCACTGAAATCTCCAGATAAAATGGTAGGAGATTGGAAAATAGGAATTGGATGGTGTGGAGTTGAAAGTAGAGAATGTCAATGGAAGATCAAGAGTTACCTCAAAAAGAAAGTGAAACGGGAAAAGCCTTACTTTGATTAAGTTGAGGCACAGTGGGAGAAACTGTTAAATCAGGACAGAAATAAATGGGTCTTAAGAGCTGTTTTGAATGCTTGATTTTCATGATGGAGCAATTTCAAGTGAAATAAAAATTAGCACGAGCAAATGTGTCAATGAAATTGTATTAGGGAAAAAAATCACTAATTACCAACTTGAGATCCTCCACAAGAGCTAACCTGAGAATACAGTATTAATACTTCGCTGTGCTTCACACTCCCTACCTCACCACCAGAAAGGGCAATGTTTTCAAGGGACCTCTTCTGTACCCCACAGCTGAGCTTTGCTTCTGCGACTAGGGAACTGCTTGAGCTGACCTGAGTATGAGATCAAACATGAAGGTAATAAATTGATTGGAAGCAGAAAACAAAACTAAACAACAATAACAACAACAAGGAAACAGTCTAACTGACTTGACATTTAGATACCTGGTTCAGCTATACAAGTTCCTAAGGATGGGAAGCTTAATAATATCAAAATGATGTGACTCTACAATTCACAAAAGGAATTATAATCTGAAGCATTGACATGCTAATCAAACAGATATAAGAAAAAATTTTTACTATTCTAGTGAATGGAAAATCTTTAATAGGGGAAAAAAGCAAATGGCACAGATAGCGTACAGGACAAGGACGTAACTTAAATTGATCTGCTGTAGGACATAGGGGTAGACTGCTCTCAAGGAGACAGACATCGAAAATACATCTCAGTCAAGGCAGGTGGAATTTGATTAAGATAAATGAGATAAAATTGTAGAAATTTAGGTTAATTATAAATAAAATGGGCTGGGCATGGTGGCTCACGCCTGTAATCCCAGCACTTTGGGAGGCCGAGGCGGGTGGATCACGAGGTCAGGAGATCGAGACCATCCTGGCTAACACGGTGAAACCCCATTTCTACTAAAAATACAAAAAATTAGCCTGGCGTGGGGTCGGGCACCTGTAGTCCCAGCTACTCGGGAGGCTGAGGGAGGAGAACGGAGTGAACCCGGGAGGCGGAGCTTGCAGTGAGCCGAGATCAAGCCACTGCACTCCAGCCTGGGCGGCAGAGCAAGACTCTGTCTCAAAAAAATAATAATAAAAATAAATAAATAAATAAATAAATAAATAAAATGACTGAAGAGACGGATCTGAACACAGGATTAATTAATATGACCCCTCAAAAATAAAAAGTGATTTTCACAGGTTAAATACAACAAAATTGATAATAATAAAAATTTGTATTCTAATGTTATGTGATATATGATTTTATGTTAATGATAATGTAGTGAGATTAGAAATTGAGAAAGCTCACAGTAGCCCTTACAAGCAAATTAAAAACCCTTCCTGGTAAAATTCTTTAAGTTCAAAAGAAAACCATCAATAAAAGTGGTTACTTTTCTTTTTATTATTTACTTAAAAATTACAAAGTTAATATATTTTCACAGTAAAAAAAATTCAAACATCAAAAACAGATACTTTTCTTCTTTCTACACCCAAATCTCCATTTGTCGCCTCAAATGTAATTACTATTAGTAACATCTTTGGTATGTTTCCAGAATTTGCCTATGAATTTTAAAACACACATATATGAAGAGGAAAAACACTGTGATAAATTAATGGAAGCTTTCTTTTTCTCTCCATTCTAAAAACTGTTTAATCATTTCAACAAGCCATTGTTCATTTCTTCAGAGGAGGATAATATGGACTGAAGAAAAACACCAAAATTCTTTCTAACCACAAAAACATTCGAGCCGTCATCGTGCTCCAGAGTAGAAACTATCCCATTTACTTTAGTCTCCCTGACATTTTGTAGGTGTGAAACCTAAATTCCAGTGGACAGAGAGTATCCCCGCCTGGGTGTAGAAGGGAGTGTGGTGTAGCTGGTTACTGGCCATTGAAACCTGTGCCCCGTGGGCTTCTCGGATGTGTACTCGATTCCATCTAAGTTTTGGCCATTGGCCCAGGGAGGGGCCATAGCTATTTTCTCCTTCATAAGACCACTGGCCACCTCCTGGCTTTTGAGATCTCTGGTCCAAATCTGTCCTCTCAAACATGCACAGGGCGCTATCCCTCCATTTCTCATATCCTGCTGGCATGTAGGCACCCTAAGGAGAAGTTCCAGGCCCCTCTACCTGGACACGTGATTCTTTCAGAACCAGCACTTGCTGGCAGCTGAATGATCCTGAATTCTCTGATAGTTTCTTGGAAGAAGGAAGAACGTTCTCATCTTTGGATTTCCAAACCTACATGTTAGCTGTAGGTATGTCAACTATCATCATCACTTTATTTGCCTATCTGGCTACTTCTGCCTGCATTCATTCACCTGAATATTAATATGCATCCTTCTATTTCATAAAGGAATTCATACTTTAGATACTCTTCTGAAACTAGTAATAACTATACTTTGGACAGCTTTTTATAAAAAATTCCATTATAGCAATGTACCACAATTGATTAAATCAGTTTCCAATTGTTGTATATTAATTTTCATCACTTTTTATTTAACATTATAATAAACATGTACATCTATGTCTGACACTTTTTAAAATATATACTACATTTGTAAGATAGACTGTTTGAAGTAGAATTGCTTCGTAAGAAGGGATCCAAATTTAAAATGAGATGAAACTTGGACATTTTTATTGATGTTTAAAATATTTCATGTATACGTATGTGTATATGTATATGCACACGCATATGCATACAAGTTTATATACACACGTGTAAATGTATATGTGCTAAACTTATATATCTGAAAACAGATATGATAACATTATACATGTTGAATGACTGTACTGCTAATTTCTTCCCCCAATTCTGTCTCTCTATTTTCCCTTTAGTAATAAAACTCCTAAGTTTGGCTAGATACTTAATGGCCCAAACTCTTTGCAAATAAGTGTGGTTACCTTTTAGACAATAGAATGCAAACGGATACCAACACCAGTTTGTGATTGTATTTTTATAAGGAGGCTGTGTGTCTTTCTCTCTCATTTTCCCCTTTCCACTAATTGCAAAATGATACATAATAATAATAATAATAATAATAATAAACAGGAGGAGTTGCCTTGCATCTCATGATGAAAACCACAATCAAAGGATGAAAGAGTCACCCTACTAGCTTGAATTCCTTGATTATTTTGTGGAGCAGAGCAGTCCACCAACTCTTGACTATTCACTTTAGACTTGAGATTTGAAAAAAAAATACTTCTTTTTAATTTAATCTGTATAAAATATCACGTTATAGCAATTTATCCTATATTGCAAATAGACTTGTTTTTCCTTTTTTACTTTGTTTTTCCTCTTTTATCACAATCTCACTTTACATCAGCCTCTCTCTCTCCATAACCTCTCTTCCAAAGAATGCATGCTAATCACCTTGTAATTATTTTTTAAACGTAGATTCAGTCATGCAAAGACTTGTGTATACAAATATAAACATATATCTACACATATGCATTTTGAAATTTTTTTCTAAAATGGAATTACATTTTGTATACTTGTCTGCATCTTACATTTCCCATTCAAGAACACAAAATGACAATTCCTCTGAGTTGACTGATACAATTTTCTTTCTTTTTAACATGATTCTTGATTTAAATGTAAAATATTTCATTTAACCATTCTTCTAACGATTTCCAGTCACATTTTTCCAGTTTATTTTTTGCCACTGTAAACATATTATAATAAATATTTGTATATCCTTAAAAATGTTAATATATTAGTGTTATTAGAAAAAATATAAACATATTTTTATTGAAATTGGTTTTGCTGGTGTGATTTTCAAAAAGATTACAATGCTGCACATTTTCACAAGCAATGTCTGACAGTGTTCCTTTCATCACAGCCTCAACAACAGAAAAGTTTAGAATTCTTACTTTTACCAGTCTGATGAACATAAAGAAGTATCTCATTGTTACCTTAATTTTTATGTCTTATTTACAAATAAATTTATTTTCCTGTGTTTCAGTATTTCAATTTGTGCCTTTATAAACTGAAAATGTATATACATTAACCCTCTTTCTGTTGAATAATTTTTATTTCCATTGACACACTGTGTAAACTTTTCACACATACATATGCATACATACATAAATATGTACGTGTGTACACTTTTTGTCTATCTTGGTCTTTGCGTTATATTTTTCCCAAATAATATGTTGGTCCACTTACTATGCATATGATATCTTTTAAATGTTCAATTAGAAAATATTTTGTGAAATGTCTGACATTTCTTTCATACATTTTGAGTTTTTAGAATTGTTCAAGTGGATCGCCATTAAAATGCTCATGTGATCGCTTAGATTATCGTGAAGTAAGTTATTCTTTTTCACATTAAAAATTTAATATATATGAATTCTGTTTTTCTTTGTGACATAAAATTAATATCTATTTTTATTTTCTTCCAAAATTGCAGGTTGTCCTTCAGCATTTATTAAATAATATTTTTTCCCCAAACTTATGGTACTACCTTTTTATGTGCAAAATTCTCATATACAGTGTGATTTGTATTTGGGTTCTCTATTCTTTTCCACGGATACATTTTTTTCTAATTTCTACACTTACAGTAATTTTCTAAACTATATACATCAACATCAAGTAGTAAAATACTCATTTTTCATGTCTTTTATACCTTTAAATTTGTCACTCACACACACAAAAAATGCAACCAACAATGGGGTGGAATGTTTTGTTCTGGCTACATGGCATCATAAATTAAACATAAATTCTGTTGTTAAACCCCCTTCCCCAACAAAATTGAACAACTACAACAACAAAGACAACAAAAATTTTAAAAGCATAGAAGTGCTAGTAGAAAAAGGAAAAGAAAAACAAATACACACACAGAAAGAAAGATGAAATCTCTATGGAAGAGACACAAAGGAGGCACACATTGTAAATAATTTGGTTAAACATTACAGCAGTTGGAGGGACGTTGGTGGCAATCAGACCTGGGAATATTCGCTAATAACTATGGGCTTTGTTTTCCATGGCCACAGATGCACAAGAAGTAAGCTCTTGAGAGCATTTAAGAAGGAAGTTGGAAAATAACACAAAAAGTGCCCCTGGATCAGTGATACACTATTGTGATTGGCTCAGCCGCAAAGAGAAAATCACCTGGAGGTAACAGTTGCTCCCCAAAGGCTGCGTGGGGTTTTCACAGCACTGGAAGAGGCCACACACAGGAGGCCGACGTGAGGTGGGGTTAGGACCTACTGTAACAAACTCTTATGAATGTTTTCCAAAGCATCCCAAAAGCTGCTTATTTATTTTATAAGGAAAATATAAAACGAATTCTAAACCAAAGGCGTTTTCCTCATTAAACACACACACCTGTTGTCCAATTTTCCATAGCTTGTTTGCTACTCTCTCTCTTGCCCCAACAGTGGATAAGACATTCTATAATTTTCATAAATCTATCAGCAAATGTTAAAAATAATGCATCAAAATCCAATAATGTTTATATCAGATATGTAATTATGTTTAATACAGGGATTTCTGTTATGAAAGATATGATCAAAATGGCCAAATATGAAATAGTAAAGTTGTTTACGGCATGGGCTTCAATGTCAAATGCCTAATGGTTCAAGTCTCGACAGAACCGTGTCTGTGTGCCTATTTTACCCCTTCCATATTAGAAATATGATAAAACGGGAATCAAAGGAGTCCTTCTTAATTGTATAGAGTGGTGATCTAAAAACAATAGTCATTGTCATATTCAGGGTAATTTACAGATGCTTTCTCTTACAAACAGGAATGTAAAAGGAATACAAACCTTCACAACTACTATGATGGGACTGACATTTTGGAAAAAAAAAACAAGATAAAAAACTAAAAGAAATGAGTTCTAAAAAAGACAGATTTGTCATTATTTTTTAGCAATATAAATACATAAGTAACCAGTCAATAAATATACAAAATTAATACTTTTTTTTTTAAATGAAGCACAACACAGGAAAACTATATACAACTTAGAAACTGTCCTCTCCACCAGCACCAGCCACCTGGAAAATGTATTGAAAAAAGAGATCCCATTTACCATAGTACAAACAATAACATGTTGGCACAACCACAAAAGATCCGTTGTAGGACCTCCAGATTGAAAAAGTCATTGCGATGAAGGATTTGAAAGACACTTTCAAAAATGTAAAATTTATAGTGTGTTCCGTATTACTATTACACTCTCCTTATACAGTATACAGAAGTAGGTTCTAATTTTCAAAAGTTCCCAGAATTTGTTTTGGATATGGATGCAATTTAGATTCAAATTCTTTTGACTTCAAATTTAGTCAAATTCTTTTGACTTGGCTTTTACATGGCTTCAGATTTAATATTTTATGAAATATTTCATAATAGTTATATAGATATAACTATTATAACTATATAACTATATGAAAACTATATATATAATTATATATAACTATTATAACTATGTATAGCTATATAGTTATATCTATATAACTATTATGAAATATTTCATAAAATACTAAATCTGAAGCCATATGAAAGCCAAGTCAAAAGAATTTTTGGCAGCATGGCATTGGAAAAGGAATAGAAAGACATCAGATCCATCCATTAATACATAGGTGATAGATAAGTATAACAAAATAGTCTCTAAGAAGAAACATTATAAAGATTTAATATGTAAAAAATATGCTTATTCTAAATAACTCAGAATGATTAGGTGATTGAGAATTTGGGTGAAATTCAGTTGTGTGGGGAGTTTACTTTAGGTAACAAGGTAATAAACAGCTGGATTAAATAGTTTAATGATTCAGAGAATTATCATGGGAGAAAGAGCACATAAAATATTTTAACTGAGTATGAAAAATCTAGAGATTAAACAACTTTTTATCCCAAAACACAATAGAAATATTAACAGAGATTAGATATTTAAGGTATAAAAATTAAGACATAAAAATGTAACAGAATTTATTTTTCACGCCCTTCGTATGGATGAATCACATTTTGTGTATTCTTTCTGCCACCAATGGACATTTACACTGTTACCACATTTGGGCTATTGTCAAAAGTGTTGTAATTAATATTTGTGTGTAAGTTTTTATCTGAACATCTGTTTTCAATTTTTCTGAATATATACCAGAGTGAAATTTGTGGGCCATGTGACGGCATTGAACTTACTGAGGAAACGCCAAACCATTTCCATAGTGGCTGTAGCATTTTGTAATCTATTCCCACCAGCGATGTCTGATGTATGAGGGCTCCATTTCTCCACATCCTCACTAACACTTGTTATTTTTCATTTTAATTTTTGATTATTGCTGTCTTCATGGATATGAAGCGGTATCTTACTCTGCTTTCGAATTGCACGTTCTTAATGACCACCACTGAGCGTTTTTCATGTGCTTGTTAAACATTTGTAGGTTTGCCTTGGAGAAATGTGTATTCAAGTCCTTTGCCAATTTTAAAAAAGAATTATCTTTTTGTTAATTGTAAGAGTTCTTTAGATATTTGGGTAACAAATACATGATTTGCAAATATTTCTCTCTCATTCTGTGGGTTGTCTTCACTTTCTTGACAGTGTAAAAGTTTTCTATTTTGATGTTCAAGTTATTTATTTTTTCTTTTGTTTCTTGTCCTTTCATTGTGATATCAAAGAATCTATTGCCAAATCTAAAATCATGTGTATCATGATTTTTTCTAAGTATTTTCTATGTGTTTATTCTTTTTATTGTTATTCTAAATGGAATTATTTTCCCAGTTTCCTTTTCTGATCATTCATTGCTAATGTGTAGAAATGCAACTATATGTTTTATGTTGCATTATTTTGTTCTGCTTTTTTACTGAATTCATTTATAAACACAAATAGGTTTTTGATGTGTATTAATTCTTTAGGATTTGCTGTATATAACATCATGTTATGTAAGAATAGTGCTAGTTTCACTTTCTTTACAATTTGGATGCCTTTTATTTCATTTTCTTGCCTAATTGCTCTGGTGAAAATGTCCAGTATAATATTAAACATTAGTGATGAAACAGGACATTCTTGTCTTGCTACCAATCTCAGAGAGAAAATATCCAGTCTTTCTCTATTGAATATGATGTGAGCTGTGGATTTTTCATAAATATCCTCTATTATGTTGAGGAAGCTCTCTTCTATTTGTAGGTTTCTTTGTGCTTTTATCACAAAAGAGTGTTGGATTTTGTCAAATGCTTTTTGTGCAGCTGAGATGATCACGTGGTTTTTTTCACCTTTGTTTTATTAACATGACATTAATTAATTTTAGTATATTGTAGAGATGTATGTTTCATCCTATTTTTATGACATTCTTGAAATGACAAAATTATAGAAATGTAGGAAAGATTAGCGGCTGCCAGGGATGAATGCGGGAGTTGGTGTGGGAAGGAAGCGGTGATGGCTGTTATAGGGCAGTATGAGGAATGCTTGTGATGGTGATAGAGATGTTTTGTATCGAAACGGGTAAAGGGTATACTGGATTTCTGTATTATTTTACATTCTCATGTGAATTTACAATTATCTCACAATAAAGGTTTTTTAAGAAATGTAAATTTTTGTTAAGAAAAAATTAAGTGTGAACAAAGAACAGAAAAGCTTCATGAAAATGTTTTTGATTTACCTATCCTCAGTGCCTAGCACACAGTAGTTGCTCAATAAATGAAAATATAAGTGATAGGATTATCTTTCCATTGCTTTAATGTACACACCTAAAAACACTGGTTCTCAATTCTAATGAAGATGTGTGCTGAAAATGCAATTTAGAGTTGATGTCAATGCAAATTTGTAGAGTCCTATAGATATGTAATTCGACAGTTAAAATAAGATTTGGAGTGATAACTTTTGCTTTCATTTTCTTAATTCTTAATGCTATTTTAGTCTCTATTACAGTTATATTTTAAAATTTAATTCTCTAAATATTCAGCACAGTTTAATTTGACAAAACCTTCCCATTCTAGTTTTATTTTAATGAAATAAATTGTGTAATATATTCAAACTATTAGGTCCTCTGTTATTTGCTCTAGGTTATCAGCTAATTTTTTGGTTAAATAAATTTAATAAAGTGCTTTCTTCTACAAATAATTATTCCAACTCTTGGGAAAACACAAATGAATAAAAAAATACCATTCAAATGTCTGTTGAATGAAGACATTTTCTTTGGAAAGAAAACTTTTCAAGCCTTAAATGGAAACCACCTTCCCTATACATTTGTCCTCCAGGGTATAGCCTTACATTTGATTAACTTAAACTTCAAAAGGATAAATTTTATAGACCTATGTTTTCAACTCTAATGGATGGCATTTAGCATCTATTAAACAAATATTTTAAGATTGCCCTAAGACTGTATACAGATTATACAGTTGGAGCTGCAAGTACATAAGCACCCAGCAGGCAGATACCATCCAGAGCAACATCAAATCTCCTTTGATGGCCATGCATTTCTAAACCTAGCTGCTATTTAGGGAGTTACTGAATTAACGTGGATTAAAACCCTGCTCAGTGGAGGATAAGGTCTGCTGAAGAACAGATGTTCTATATCACTAAAAACTGTGTGCTCATCGTCGGAAAGATATTATGGGTCTTTCATCAGATATGTGTCTGGTGGTATCATCAATAGGGAAGAACTCTGACCTCAAAACCCAAAACCTCGGGGAAGTGAGGAAATTCATGATTCTCAAAAAATAATCATAATTACCACTTTATATCACAGTATACTTCTATCAAAACTCTACTCTCCCTCAATGAGTCTGTCAAATGAAGCAAATACCTAAATGCTTTCAGAATGTAGTATGAGAATGATTTTTTAAATCTCATAAATAAATTGGAAGGAATTGAATTTCTATCACATAACATTTAGGTATTAATGTACAAGTGACTAAATATTTTCCTTGGCTTAAACATCGTTAAATTCATGATAATTAATTAAAAAGAATTGTTTGTATTAATTGTTATTTGTATTACAAATGTTCATGATATGAATTTTATACATGTATATGTAAATATATACTTTTTTTTAGTGACTGCATTTCATACCCCATGAGCATGAAATGTAGCATCTGGTTTTGACCGTGTGCATTCACTTCAAGGAAATAGGGAATAGAGTCAATTATGTAAGAAATTCAAGCCAAAATACATTTGTGATTTATTTATTCAACTATTTTTATATTCAATGTTGCATTTTATAAACTATTGCTTTATTTTTCCCAGGATAGAAATGAACAACCTGGATTAAAACTCTGAAGCAATCAGATTATGTTTTTCTCTGGACATTTACTTTCAAAAGTGGCATTTAATTTTTTAAAAATAAATAAAAATGATAAAAAGTGGTTAGATTTATTATAATAATTTATAATAACCCAAGATAGGCTCCTATACAATCTGGAGAGAAAGATAGAGGTAAAATGTGAGAGAAACAAAGAAGAAAATCTTATTTTTTTTAAAACAAAGAAAATTAGACACAGAATCCCTGAAACAATGACAAGCTAGAGATATGGGAAGGGTCTCTTGCTCCAAATAATTGGTTTGATGTTAAAGGTAGAAGTGCTTGTTTCACATGCTAACAAATGAAGGCAAAGAACTCAGCTATGTTAGTGTGCTTCAAGGAAGAGTTCGTTCTCTTTCAGCCTGTGTCCCACGTTTAAAGTGAAGTGTGGGTATGAAAGTTGTATGGTACACACTTGTGTTGTTTGACTAATTGTTTGGGGTTTTTTTTGGTAAGGAAAAAGGAATGGATAGAGTAACTTATACCTCAAACTTTTCCTGGCACTTCTCACCTTGTTGCCATTCAAAAATTTCGACACGTTTTAACTCTACTCATGTTACGATCAGTTGGAGAAAACAATCGCTTTTCCTTCAAACTTCTTTGTAATAGATGATGATGTTGCATGAGTCCTGACCAGCCTTTCCGAGAGAGGGCTCAGTAAATTTCTAAGGTACCAAATGTATTTTGAAAATACTGAGCCATCAACCTGCTCTTTGGTAAATCTAGTTTAATAAATACCAAAATGAGCAGACCAAGCCATCTGTGTTCTCTCTGCTTGTAATAAAAAAGGCATTTGTCTGATGATGACATGTTTTTCAGAGTGCACCAAGTACTTTATTTTATGATGGTATTTATGCAGCTTCCTCTAAATGAAATAATGCAAGATGTTTATTATTTCAGCATCTGCTCCCATATTCTCTTAGCCACTTCACCAGTGACTCACATTTCTTTGACACAAAAAAAATCATTAGATTGTTTCATCTGATAATTACACAGGTAGGTCTGTTTTCTTTTTGGCATATTGTTGACTTTCAATCCAACAAGTGCTATCAAAGAGAAATGTTAATATTTTGAATTAAGGGAAAGAGAAAAAGTGAAATGGATAGTAATGAAAAGTATTTATAAACCAGTTCTGATCCTGTTTAAATTGCTATTGATACATTTATTGATACCCCCTCCTGGTTTGGAAGGATTTAATATGGTTGCCCTGTATTAGATTTTGAATTCCTCTCATGTGACCAAGAATAAGATTTTTAAAAACCACAAATATTCACAATTGTTGTTACTATCATTATTATTGTTTCATTCTCAGAACCACTAAGGCTCAGCTGCTTTCCCTGTATTTACATACTAGAGAAGTAAATAGTGACAAGTGTTAAGTATTCACTTGAAGATCCTGCTCCAGAATATCTGCTTGGTTGTATTTTCATTGTGCTAAATTCTGACAGTTAACACGCTTCTCTTAAACACGATCTCTAACATATTTCATGCATTTGTACTTACATATATACTGTAGAACTTCAGGAAAGTCACCTCTAATTCCTGAATCAAATAGTGTATACTGAATACAGAGCTGCAGGGGAATACATGATTTACTTTATATAACTGCAATTAACAGGAGTAGGAAAGATGTTTACATTTAGTAGCCTACTTTTAAAAAACAAACAAAAACAAAAGAAGACAATAGAGAGCTCATTTGAGGATAGCACATATTACATAGCTCATGAGTTGGAATGTTGAGCTAGCACTCAGGTGCAGACCACACTGGAGTGTGAGGCCATCCCATTGCAGTCTGGCCTCTGGGTGCCCTTGTTGCACCAGTTAGTTTTTAAAATTCTGGGTATTGCCTTGGCTTATTGGGGATTTTACATCCTGAGAAAAATCATAGATCTTAATAAATAAACCAAATGAGATCATGCATTACATGATTACCCCAAAGTTTCGCCTTTCATTTTTTATTAATGTAGATATTCCATGTTAATTGGATACTACTGTATTCCCAAATATTTTACCTAGAAGATGTTGTTACCAAGGAAGACAGTAGAGGACTTGGTGTTTGAATGGAAAAGAGAGATGTGGAGGGTGGAGGTTTTCAATATTAGAAGAGGGTTAACGTGGGGTAAATTGAGATAAAAAATTGGGTTTTGGTCATGTTGAGATTCAGATTAGTGATAAGGCTAGTTTTTGTTACTGGTTAAGCCAATGGATTACATTCACAAATATATTAAATATTCTCAACTGCAGTGACTGTGACTTTCATGTAATCAGAAACCACTACTAGATTTTACTGACTAAAACCTACAATCTACTTTTAACACTTTGCTATGGGTATAAAAGAAGGGGAATGACCACACTCCCACTTCCTTAGCCCATTCATCACACAGGCATAGTTGGCATATAGTGTCTAAACCAATACCTAAATTCATCCTATTGGAAGTGAGACAGTGGCTCAAATGAGTACCCCCTGATTGTCTATAGAGCGTAAGAACCACATCAGGGTCCAGAAGAGAGCAAGCCAAAACTTGAAGCCTGTGATCAGAACGCTCCCTAACTCTGCGAGGCCAGAGAGACGTGTTGCAATTTACAATGTGCTTTGCTCGTTCCCAGAGTTCCCTAACATGAGGTTCTTTGCTTGTGGGGTGTGAGTCAAGCTTATTCACATGGTTAAGAACACATTAAAACAAGCCGACAGGAAGTTTCCAGTGGTCCTTGGAGATAGTCTAAAATATGAAACGAAAGAAAATAAAGAGATCTAATTTAGCGAACAAAACACGTCCATCCAGACTCATAAACGGTGTGCTTATGTTCTTATTCCGTTTTATTTTGGTAATGGAAAAAAAGGCTTGGGGCAAATACACAAGGATAATTCATGTTTCCTTCTTTTAGCTCAGAGCTGCTGTCCTCACTTAACCCCTCCAGCCACATCAACTTAACCTTGACAAATCAATTATTTTTCTTTCAGGAAAAAATCACTGTTATTGCCAATCCATAGAACCCATTAACCCTTCAAGAAAGAAACCATCAAAATTATGATTTTAAGATCTCAATTCAGAAAACTTTCCTGAAATAATAAGCGCACACACCTTAAACATAATTGGAGGATTCATTCTAAGAAATCCTCTTCCCAGTTTCCTCAGAAGTCTTTAGAGCTGTAATACAGTGTGAGCTCTCAAAAGTTATTAAAACAAAGAAAAAAGTGGTAGCAAAAAATATGAAAATTATGAAGAAAAGGATAAATAGAATTTTTTTCTAATTTTGTATCTTTTTCATTTATATATATTCAGCAATTTTGCAAGGAGAAGGAGCAATTTTTTATACATTTCAGTACAGACCCACAAAATAAAAGTCCGTTTTTAGTGACAAGTTAAAATTCAATATAACCTATAATTAGTTTAGCAGTATGATAAATTTCACTATTTATATCTACCTTCTAATAATCTTACATTACAACGAAAGCTGCTATTTTAGGTAAGTTACCCTCTGCTCCTCATGCTAGGGAGGAAAAAAGCAAAATGTGTTTAGACTCCCTGGCATTTTGAAAGTGTTGATTCCAATCCTCATTGAGAAGACAATGTGAGGTGTTTGACTCAGATTCATGTATTTCAGTTGCCATGCTTTAAACTTTAATAATTAAAGGAATCTTTTTCAAAAACTCATCAAAATCTTAGAGGTCAGGATAGTTTTATAATATCTACCAAGGGATAAACGAAGTAGTTTATCCCATTTGTAATTAAAATGCTCCAACAGAGAGCACCTTGCTCCATTATGAGGACACTTTGTGAATTTGACACTAATGTGTGTTTACCGTTTTAAATTTTTAAATTCTGACGTTCTAACAAACGTTCTAAGGGTACATAGGTTAGATATAAGAATAATTATGGTCTGTCAGTATTAATGACTGTTTCTCATAATCATTAATGGAAACAATTTTTTTGTTGTTTTCCTATCAGATAACTCCCTTTCTTATTTTCACAAATATCTATTTATGATATTTCTGTTGGTTATTTAGGAGTGCAGCTGTGCAGCTGTAATCATCTATCACTAGACAACTATTAAGTTTTTCATCATGTTTTACCAAAGTTAATTTGCAAAAGCTTTTTTAATGTTCACTAATGGTCTTTTCTGCATTAAAAAAATGAAAGCTCAATCATGCTATTTTATGGGATAGGTGAAGAATCCATTACACATTTTTCTAATTAATTAACCATTTCCTAAACATATGGATAAATAATGCACTAAAGCACTATTGGCATGTATTACTGTTTAATTTTAGAATGCTCTATTTACACGTAGTAGGCCTAGGTCAAGGCGGGATGCTCTGCTCTGCTCTGCTCTGCTCATTGTGTGTCTCGTTTTCAGCAGCTGCACTGTGTCTTTGTATGTGGGCTTCATGATCTCTTTTACCATATGGTATCCTGTCTTCCTCACTGTGTTTTCCAATAAATGTCTACTTATTCTTGCCTGTTTGCTTCTGTTGATCAACTTTAGAACCATTTTGTAACTTTTGTGTGTGTGTATGTGTGTGTGACAGAGTCTCACTCTGTTGCCAGGCTGGAGTGCAATAGCACGATCTCGGCTCACTGCAACCTCTGCCTCCTGGGTTCAAGCAATTCTCCTGCCTCAGCCTCCCGAGTAGCTGGGACTACAGGCGTGTGCCACCATGCCCGGCTAATTTTTGTATTTTTAGTAGAGACCGGGTTTCACCATGTTGGCCAGGATGGTCTGAATCTCTTGACCTCATGATCCTCCTGCCTCGGCCTCCCAAAGTGTTGGGATTACAGGCCTGAGCCCCTGTGCCCTGCCATAACATTTTTTAAAGCACCAAAAGGAATGTAATTGGGTTTCTGTTTTATTTACATGTTCACTTGAGACAAATAGAAGGTTTCCCAATATATATTATTCACATTCACAGTGATGTTATATAGCTCCATTAAAAACTAGTAATAATTTCAGATTTATAAAAATTTCAAACATAAAATTAATACAGAGAACATGTGTATGCCTTTCACCAAGGTTCAAATATTAACATTTTATTCCATTTGCATTGTAATTTGCCCATGTTCTCTTTCTGTGAATTTTTTTTCTCTGAACTATTCAAGTGTAACACATCATGGCCCTTTACCTGGGACTTCCTCGGTGTACATTACATTACCTAGGAACAGGGATCGTCTTCATCAATTTCTATTGATAGACTACATTTAATTTCTTATTTATATTCGTTTTATTCTATTTGACTTAATAATGTCCTTTATACCATTTCCCCCCTTCAGAACCGGGTCCAGTTGGGGTCAAGAATTACATTTAGTTGCCATGTCTCTTTAACTTCCTTTAATCTAGAGCATATCCACATATTTCTTTATCTTGCATTATTTGATTTTTTTAAATCCCTCCATTTTAACAGACTTGTCCTCATTTTGAGTCTGTTGGTTAGTCTAATTATTATAATTACACTGAAATGATGTATTCCTGGTCCAAATATGAAATATTTAGCATTACACTCTTCACAGTGTAGCACATCTGGAGGCCCATCACTGCCATGCGCTCTTTCATTGGTGATGTTAATTTCATCACCTGGTCAAAGTGTTGCCAAATTTCTCCGTTGTATAATTACTATTTGCTTTTTCTCCCTTCCACCTAATTTCAGATTGAGGGGAGATTCTTTAAGGCAATGCAAATACCCTGTTCTTCATGAAACCGCTCCCTAGATTTAGCACCCATCCAGAAGCCTTGCCTAACGCACTCTTGCCCTGGTGGTTGCCAAAGGATGATCGTTCACCCAGCACCTCTTTCGCTTCTTGAAGTCACCCTTAACCATTCTACTGCAACAAACAGCCCCCCTCTTAACCCCATTTATTTATTCATTATTAATGTGGACTCAGTCTATTTTTTAATGGTGTATCATTCAGATGCACTCATTGGGACGCTGTGGTGGGAAGCTACTCAAGCTGGCTCCCGCAATAGACCCCGTCATTTTTTAAGCACTTCTTTACTTTTTGGCAGAACTAGAGACCTGGCTCATCTTGTATTGTCTTGTCCCAGCCCTGTAACGAGCCATTTTCCTGAGGAACTCTGGTTTCCAGATCTTGGCATTCGGTATGTCCGTTGTTACTGGAGTGCATTTGCATCATGGTCCTTTCAGAGACTAGACCTAGGAAATACATGCACACACACACGTACGTATGTATGTCCACACACACATAAACAGTCATGAATATACACATACACATATGTATTTTAGGAATCATGAGCTCACAGCAATACTTCCAATTCCAATCCTACCAGCAGGGTTTTCTTCACTCTCCTCCATTCCGTACTTAGATGCCCTTTCTTCAACATGGGCAGCCTGAGCTCCCCACCACCTCAACACATTGATCTATGGTTCAATCCTGGAATACATCTCAAAAGGTTTAGTATTGCTCCACCAGGACCTCTACATTAACCTACCTCAAAATAACTTATTTTCAACTGCTTTTGCTGTACTCCAACTTTTCTTTACAACTGAGTATAATAAACTATTGTATTTATAAGTTAATAGGATTAGTTTTCTCTAAGCTATGTGGCCCTGTATGTCTCTTTGTCTTTCTCCTTCAGGGTGCTTGTGATAGTCGTTTGAAATAAAGTTAAGTTCATTTTTAAAAGTTTACTTATATTTTAGAGTTTTCTTTTGTTCCTTTCTCATTCTGATTGATTTAAATATATTTTAAATATATGTAGTATTAACATGCTATCTGCTGTGGTGTGAATATGGTTTGTCCTCACCAAAACTCATGTTGAAATGTGATCCGTGATATGGCAGTGTTTCAAGGTAGGGCCTAGATTAATGCCCTCCCACTGGGGTGAATGAGCTCTCCTAAGAACAGGGATTAGGTCCCCCGAGAGAAGACTGTTAAAAAAAAAAAAGGCTGGTTTTCTTGGTTTCACTGTCCAGTTTCTTTTGTCACCATGCGATCTCTCTGTATGTACTGGCTCCCCTTCCACTTTCCAGCATAAGTGGAAGCAGCCCGAGATCCTCACCAGATGCAGTTGCCCCATCCAGGATTTTCCAGCCACCAGAATCACGTGCCAGATAAGCCTTTCGTTGTTTATAGATTACCCAGTCTCAGGTATTCTGCTACAGCAAAGCGAAATAGACCAAGACACTATCCAAAGTCAAAAGGCACAAAAACTTATACTCAGAGAAGGCCCACCCCAACCCTGTCCTTTCCCATTCATACTCCTCTCCAACACTTTAAACAACATCATTGTTTTCTAATTTATCTGTTCCTTTTGGTAGCAATAAGCAGATATATGCATGTTTTTCTCTTTGTCACACAAAAGTTAGGATATTTTTTATGGCTTCCTTTTACGTTTTGATTTTTTTCATCTGGTAATATCTCCTGCAAAGAAGTCACTGTCAATTCACAGAGCCCTTCCTCATCCTTTCTTACAGATGCACAGTGTTCCGTTGTATGCATGTGCTGAAGTAGATATAATAAATCTCCCATGGTTAGGTTTTCCGATAGTTTCCAATATATTTACAATTACAAATCATACTGCAATGACTAACATTGAGCATGTGCATTTGTATATTGTTGGAGGTTTACTTGTGGAATCAATTCTTAAGTGTGTGATTTCTAAGTGGAAGGGTAAGTGCATACATAATTCTGTTGTACAAATGCAAATTTCCCTCCTCAGGTATTCCACTTTGCATTTCAAACAGCAATGTTGGGAGTGACTGTGTTTCCACATTCTCACCACAGAGTATATTGTTAAGCTTTTCAATTTGTGTCAATCTGATCGGAGATGGGTAAAAAATGGTACCTGAGTATTATTTTAATTTTCATTTTTGTTATTATAAGTGAAGTTGGGTGTATTTTTATATACATACAAAGGGTCTTTAATATCTTTTTGAAAATTATATTTTTGTCCATTCTTATATAAAATTTCAAATTTTAAAATTTCTATAACATTTTTGCTAGTTTGTCTCCTAAATTTTAAAAAAGCTTTTGTAAAATTAAGTGAGGGGTATTAGCCTTTAATCTGTGATATATCTTGCAAATATCTTCCCCAGAGTATCATTTGTCTTTTGACATTACTTACGTTGTTTTAGCCATGTAACTTCTTATATTTATGAACATTAATTAATTAATCTTATATTTTATTGCAGCTGGATTATTATAGTTAGAAAGTCATTCGTTGTAGCTAGATTATAAAAATATTTTCACATGTTTTCTTGTAGGATTTTTGTGTCTAAACATCTAAATTTAGAACTCTCATCCACTTGGGTGTTTTATAGAGGGTGGTGATTGGATCTAAATTTACCCTTTCCAAATGGCTGTCTAGTTGTCCATCTCCATTTATTATGAAGATTACATTTTGTCCCTATGACTGATAAATCACCATAATACACTGAATTTCTGATTGTAGTTGAATCTATTCGTGGAGGTTGTATTCTATTCCATTTAATTATCTTTTCATTGAGATGCCAGCATAACACGTTAGTAGTTATGGAGGCATTGTGGCATTTATAAATTGTGGTCAAAAACACAACACATAAAATTTATCATGTCAACTATTTTTTAAATGTACAGTAGTGTTAACTATATGCACATCAATGTGCAACATATCTGTATAACTTTTCATCTTGCAAAATGGGAACTCTAGATCCATTGAACAACTCCCTGTGGCCTCCCTTTAGACCAAGCTTGTCCAACCTGTGCAGCCCAGGATGGCTATGAATGCAGACCAACACAAATTCGTAAACTTTCTTAAAACATAATGAGATTTAATATTTATGCATGGACCTTTTTTTTAAGCTTATCAGCTATCATTAGTGTTAGTGTATTTTATGTGTGGACTAAGACAACTCTTCTTCTTTCAATGTAGCCCAGGGAAACTAAAAGATTGGATACCCCTGCTTCAGATTCTGATGACCATCATTCTACCTTCTGTTTCTATGGGCTTGACTACTTTGGATACCTCAAATAAGTGAAATGATGCATTTGTCTTTTGGTGACCGGCTTAATTTACCTAGCACAGTATCCTCAAGGCTCCTCCAAGTTGTCACATATGGCAAGATTTCCTTCCTTTAAAACTGAATAGTACTCCATGGTATGTACATGTTATAGTTTCTTTATTCATTCATCTCTTGAGGGGCATTTATGTTGCTTCTACTTTTTGACTATTGCAATTATTGCTGCAATGGACGTGGATATGCAACAATCTCTTTGAGAACTTTCTTTCAATTCTTGTGGATATGTACTCAAAACTGGGATTAATTTTTTTAATTGCCATGCTCATTTCCATAGAGTTGCATAATGTTATCTTCCTACCAAAAATACACAAGGGTTTCAGTTTCTCCACATTCTTTACCAACACTAGTTATTTGCTTAAAAATTATTCATTAATTTTTATTGACACATAATAACTGTAGATTTATGGAGTACAAGTGACCTTTTGATACATGCATACAATGTGTAACAATTAAATCAGAGTATTTACAATATCCACCACTTTGAATATTTTGCTGGAAACATTTCAAATATCTCCCAGCTATTTTGAAATATACAGTAAACTATTGTTAACTATAGTCACCCTTAGCTATCTCATACAGGAAATTATTTTTTCTATTTAATTGTATGTTTTTAACCTTTATCCAAACCGTTGTCATTGCCCCCTACTTCAAACACACACTCCATTTCCCAGCCTGTGGTAACTATCATTCTACTCTCTACCTCCATGCGATCAACGTTTTTAGCTTCTGCATATGTGTAAAAACATGTCATATTTGTCCTTCTGTGCCTGGCTTTTTTCACTTAACATACTGTTCTCCAGTTCCATCCCCGTTGCTGCAAATGACTAGATTTCATTCCTTTTTATGGCTAAATACTATTGCATTGTTTATATATACCACATTTTCTTTATTTATACATTCATTGATAGACACTTAATTTGATTCCATATCTTTGCTATTGTGCATAGCACTTCAGTAAACCTGAGGGTGCAGTTATCCCTTTGATATACTGTTTCTTTTCTCTCGTATAAATATTCAGTAGTGTGATTGTGGAATCATAAGGTAGGTCTATTTTTTAGTTTTTTGAGAAACCTCCATATTTTTTTCTACAATAGATGTACTAAATTACTTTGCCATTAATAGTGTTTTAGAGTTCTCCTTTCTTTGTATCCTCACAAGCATTTTTTTTTGTCTTGAAAATAGCTATTCTTTTTTTGTTGTTGAGACCTTGCTTGTTGCCCAGGCTGGAGTGCAATGGCACCATCTCAGTTCACCACAACCTCTGCCTCCCCGGTTCAAGCTATTCTCCTGCCTCAGCCTCCTGAGTAGCTAGAATTACAGGCATGTGCCACCATATCCAGCTAATTTTGTATTTTTAGTAGAGATGGGGTTTCTCCATGTTGGTAATGCTGGTCTCTCACGCCCGACCTCAGGTGATCCACCCACCTCAGCCTCCCAAAGTGCTGGGATTACAGGCCTGAGCCACCATGCCCTGACCAAAAATAGCTGTTCTAATTGGAGTGAGATGATATCTCATTGTAGTTTTGATTTGCATTTCCCTGGTGATAAGTGATGTTCAGTATTTTATCATACACTTGTTGACCGTTTACATGTCTCCTTTTGAGAAATGTCTATTCAGATCTTTTGCCCACTTTTTAATGGAATTATTATTTTTTTCCCATTGAGTTGTTCATGTTCCTTACATATTTTGGATATTAGTCCCTGGTCAGATGAATAGTTTGCAAATATTTTCTCCCATTCCACATGTTGTCTCTTCCCTCTGTTGATTGTTTCTTTGCTGTACAGTAGGTTTTTAGTTTAATATAGTTCCATTTGTCTATTTTTTTTTGTTTTGGTGCCTGTGTTTCTCAAGTCTTAGCTATAAAAATCTTTGCCTAGACCAATGTCCTGAAGCATTTCCCCTATGCTTTCTTCTAGTAGTTTTATAGTTTCAGTGTTGTGTTTAAGTCTTTTATCCATTTTGATTTCATTTTTTCTTTTGTATTTGGTGAGAGATAAGAATCTAGTTTTCCTTTTTCTGCACATGGATATCCAGTTTTCTCAGCATCACTTACTGAAGGGACTGTCCTTTCCTCAATGAATGTTCTTGGTGCCTTTGTCAAAAATAATTTTGCTATAAATAAGTGGATTAAATTTATTTCTGTGTTCTTTTTTCTGTTACCTTGGTCTATGTATTTGGTTTTATACTAATGCCATACTGTTTTGATTACTGTAGCTTTGTAGTATATTTTAAAGTCAAGGTAGTGTGATGCTCCAGCTTTGTTCTTTTTGCTTGGTATTGCTTTGGTTATTTGGGGTATTTTTTGGTTCCACATAAATTTTAGATTTTTTTTCTGTGAAGAATAATGTTGGTATTTAGATGGGGATTACAATAAATATGCAGATTCCCTTCTGTGATATGGTAATTTTTAATAATCTCAATTATTCTGATGCATGAGCATATCTTTCCATTTGTTTGCATCCTTTTTATTTACCTTCAACAATGTTTTGTAGTTTTTATTGTAGAAGTATTCCACCTCCTCAGCTAAATTTATTCCTAGGTATTTCATTTTATTTTTTGTAACTATTTTAATGGGATTATCTTCTTGATTTCCTTTTCATCTAGTTTGTTATTGATGTATAACAAAGCTACTGATTTTTGTATGCTGATTTTGAATCCTGTGTTGTGGGAAGTCAGGGACCTCAAATGGAGGGACCGGCTGGAGCCGCGGCAGAGGAACATAAATTGTGAAGATTTCATGGACATTTATCAGTTCCCAAAATTAATATGTTTATAATTTTTTACACCTGTCTTGACTGCAATCTCTGAACACAAATTGTGAAGATTTCATGGACATTTATCAGTTCCCAAATAATACTCTTATAATTTCTTATGCCTGTCTTTACTTTAATCTCTGAATCTTGTTATATTCGTAAGCTGAGCATGTACGTCACCTCAGGACGACTATTGTACAAATTGATTGTAAAACATGTGTGTCTGAACAATATGAAATCAGTGCACCTTGAAAAAGAACAGAATAACAGCGATTTTCAGGGAACAAGGGAAGACAACCATAAGGTTTGACTGCCTGTGGGGTCGTGCAGAATAGAGCCATATTTTTCTTCTGGCAGAGAGCCTCTAAATGGACATGCAAGTAGGAGAGATATTGCTGAATTCTTTTTCCAGTAAGGAATATTAATAATTAATACCCTAGGGAAGGAATGCATTCCTGGGGAGAGGTCTATAAACGGCCGCTCTGGGAGTGTCTGTCTTATGCAGTTGAGATAAGGACTGAAATACACCCTGGTCTCCTGCAGTACCCTCAGGCTTATTGGAGTGGGGAAAAAAATCCCACCCTGGTAAATTTGAGGTCAGACCAGTTCTCTGCTCTCGATCCCTGTTTTCTGTTGTTTAAGATGTTTATCAAGACAATACATGCATAGCTGAGCATAGACCCTCATCAGTAACTCTAATTTTGCCCTTTGCCTTGTGATCTTTGCTTTGCCCTTTGCCTGGTAATCTTTATTGGCCTCAGAAGCATGTGATCTTTGTGACCTACTCCCTGTTTGTACACCCCTCCCCTTTTATAGTCCTTAATAAAAACCTGCTGGTTTGCGGGTCAGGTGGGCATCACAAACCTATCGATATGTGATGTCACCCTTGGTGGCCCAGCTGTAAAATTCCTCTCTTTGTACTCTTTCTCTTTATTTCTCAGACCGGCCGACACCTAGGGAAAATAGAAAGAACCTATGTTGAAATATTGGGGGCTGGTTCCCCCGATAATCCTGCAAATTTACTAAAATTGTTTATCAGTTCTAAGAGTTTTTTGGAAGAATCTTTATGTTTTTGCATATCTAAGATTATGTCACCTGCAAAAAGAGACCATTTGACTTGCTGTTTTCCTATTTGAATGCCTTTTATTTCTTTCTCTTGCCTGGTTGCTCCAACTAGGATTTTCAGTACTATTTTTGAATAAGAGTGATAAAAGTGGGCATACTTCTCTTTTTCCAGTTGTGGAGGAAAGGTTTTCCGCACTGCCCCATTCAGTGTAATGTTAGCTGTGGGTTTGTCATACATGGCCTTTATTATGTTGAGATATGTTCATTCCATGCCTAACTTTTTGAGGGTTGTTATCCCCAAGGGACATTAAATTTTACCAAATGCTTTTTTCTGCATCTATTGAGATGATCATATGGTTTTTGTCCTTTATTCTATTGATGAGGATTTTTATATCTTTGTTCACTGGGCTATTGTATAACAAAGCCACTGTTCCCCAGTGAACAAAGATAAAAAAATCCTCAACAAAATACTAGCAAACCAAATATTACATCAAATAAAAAAATAATGCATGATGATCAAGTAATGTTTATCCCAGGAATGCAAAGATACTTCATCATACATAAATCAACAAATGTGATATATCACATCAATAGAATAAAGGACCATATGGCTTAAAACTCATCCTCAAATATAACAAGCAGCTATATGAAATTACGGATGTAGACCAAGGATGCTGAACATACCATAATGGCAATTTCATTTGGTTAAATCTAATACTTATATCAATGGTAAATTATCAAATTATCAATCACATTAATCTCTCTGAAGTCATTTTCTACATTCATATAAGGCATAAATTCTATACATAAACTATTTTAAGATATAGGTTCTGGGATCTATAACCTGTAAATCAAGAGTTATTATCTTTGAGAGTATGTATTTTTTATATTCTCAACTCCTATAAGAGATATTTTATGTAAATTTAATGGTTTCCTAATAACTAAAGTGGTACATTAAGCCTCATTTTTTACTCTTCCTCCACAAAACTCAGGAAACTAATCAGGTTGCCTGTAGTTCAATGTTGATCAAGTTAATTATCTCAAGGATTATTCTCATTTTGTGACATAATATATTATCCATTGTTGTTTAATTCCCAGCAAAATAGAGACATTTTGAAAATAATTTTCACTGACTTTTTAGAATTCAAGTGGCTTTCACAAATGAAATAACTTTACTATCTTGCTGTTATTAATCTGTACATTGGCTAATCTGACTTTATATCATCAAGATGACTATTTTATTTGAATGAGCATGAACTCATAAAATCTTTACAATTCCTGGCTTACTCAAGAGACAATCATATAGTATAAAACAGTACTCAAATTACCATCAGCATTTATTTTTTCATTACAACCTCATTACAAAACTATTTATCATGTCGTATAGTTCAATATAAAGCTGGTCAAGGGATCTTTATAACCGAGTGACTGATAAGATTATTGTCATATTTTGAAAGGCACCAAAGGGCTTTTTCAAAGGACAAGACCTCAGAACAGTTTTATGTTGAAGTGAGACCCCAGTGTGCCTATAATAGCTTTATTGAGATAGAATTGACATAAACCATACATATTCAAAATATATAATTTGATAAGTTTTCATCTATTTATAAGCCTGTGAAACAACCACCACAATCAAGATAGTGAATATGATTTATTTTAATTTTATTTGCTTTCAAAATAAACATAGCTATGTTTTCAGAAAATCCAATTTTTCCTTAAATCTGCAAGTTTTATGGTTCCATTTCATTTAAAAATTAAGTCATTTTTCAAAAATGATAGTGTGCACAGTTTTATTAAAGTAATTACCATCACCATCATTGCAACAGCAAGAGCAGCAGCTACAAAAACTCAGCAGGTCATTTTTAATAGATGCCTTTTTCTCACTGACATAAAACATGAGCATCTTTACAGTACAGGTTACAGCAGGATGGCCCATGATGGTTCATGCAATCGTATCACTGTTATTGCCTCAATGGACATTCCTGGGTGCTCACTTACCAGCAGAAGTATTTTCCTCCTCAGAATTCTTACCTACTTTGTTCTCCTCTGCCATGCTCTACTTTCTCTTTTCTCATCTATACTTTTGGGATAATTTTGATATAAAAATATGCCCAAAGAGTTAGACTGGAAATTAAATGTCCCTCATAATTCAGTAAATAAACATCTGGATAAAACAGAGTTTCTAATAAGCTTAGGGTTTGTTGGAATAATACTCGTTTAATAAAATACTAATTTATTGAATGCTTAAATGAATTTTTTATATTAAGAAAACGAGTTAGAAAAATTGAAATACGAACCACAGAAATGTGTATTTTTAATTACAGGGCTTTGAATAAAAAATGAAATCAGTTAAAAATTGGAGGTCAGCCATTCACTGTGTAGATTAGGATTAATTAGTACTGATACATATATATTTTCAAAATATTCCATTGCTATAATAAATTTCCATTTTGGTATTAAGAAAACGACGGAAGGATATATGGCTGATTGCCTAGTCCATGACTTTGTGACATATTGAGACAAGGGTATTATATAGAAATAATAAAATATCTCTTTAGATTTAAATATATATATTTTCACATATATTTATGTCTAAGCTAATAGATATTTTTGTACTAGGTAATATGAAATTGCTCAAGAGTGCTGAAATAATCGTAAAGAACAGTAGGAGCCAGTTTTATTGGGCAGTAAGTTAGAATTACTTTACCAGCTGTCTCCAGTAACTACAGCAATACTAGACTGTAGAAAACACTCAACACATAGTTGTTTAATGAGTGAGCCATTAAGAAAAAAGAATAGATCTCAGGTTAACTTTTATTAGTGCAGCAGAATATTTTTTGTAAAGAAAGAAAATATTTTATACTAGTTTTCTCTGGCTACTGTATATAGATAGTAACACACTTTCCAATTTGTGGAGTATATTTAAAAATATACATTAGCAATGTCTGAGAGGAGGGAAGTTTTATTAGTAGAAAGATAAACAAAATAGTAGTGATTTATTAAAATTTGCAAATATATTAGTTATAAAACAGGAAAAGAACACGTGGAAAGCAGGAGTTTTGAATTTCAATTTCATCACATTTTCTTAATTAGAATAATATAATTGAAATCCAGCTCTTCCCCAAAAGGAGATTTTCCCTTGCAAACAACTTACTCATTTCCTTTCACTTTTTCTTTCTCTCTCTCTCTCTCTTTTTTGTTTGCTTTCAGTCTTTTCCAGTTTATTTCCAAAGATGTTTTTATACTCAGTGAGTTCTCATCATGGCAGTATTCTCCACAATGTATTCCTAGAGTTTCAACTTAGTTTTTCTCTTCTCTGATCCTCTCCTTATCCTGGCTGTACTTCACGGCCTGGCAGTTTTCTGGGAGGCTCCTGTCTATCGCTTGATACCAGAGGAGTGGATCAAAATTGTTCCAGAAGTGAATTCAGGAAGACAGTGGGCAATTAATTCAAGATTTATTTTTCTATATAAATTGCAGAAGAGAGGTAGTTTGGTGGAAAATCTCATCATAATAAATTGTGAAAGTTATATTTATTGAGACCTATTTTCCCGGCATTTATTCCTTCTTATGCTATTTTATTTACTTCTTATATCTCTCAAAAACTTGAGAACCATATGCATTGTTCAATGCCATACACAATTAGTAGGCAATAGATGGCAAAATCCAGAGTCTTATCATTAAACGTTTTAGTTTTTTGAGAACATTATAGTTTTATAATGCTTAATTAATGTATTGCTTTTCTAGGTACTTATTATACTCAATTCACTCTTTTAGATGATTAGAATTTTATAAAGATGTATAGTGAGCCTGCCCTCAGTTATATGTTAACTTTGCTTATTGCCGAAATTTTCCCTGAGATTTGGAATTTATCACAATAATTAGTAAATAATATCTTCTTAAACTAACTTTGGAAAATTTCTATCCAATAATTCAAAATATTTGACTGGCAATCAGGTAAATTAAACTGTGCAATACAGTAGGTAGAACTCTGTGGGCTTTGATATCACACAAACATGAATTTAAAGATGATTCTTCCACTTGTGTTATCACAGGCAATTGAATCAATTATGACATTCTTCAGTTCATTACTCTATAAAAAAGGGAAACGAAGAATAACTACCTTGTAATGCAGTTGTAAAGGTTACTTGAAGCAATTTAGGCAACATCACCAACTATACTACCTAGCTCATCATAAAGACTCCAGACTGAATGGTCACTATTGTCCATTTGGTTAGACTCATGGTTAAAAGTGCAGCTCTAGAAGTCTGTTGTTGGCATGGATGGGTCAGCTCCTACTAGACTAAATCTCCCACTAATAGCAACAACACATTATAAAGTATATAAACAAAGACATCCCTAAAGTTGTGAAGAGTTGACAAACTATGCAGTTGCTGGAGGGGAAGACTTGGAAAATGAAGATGGAACCGACACAGGGTGAGCTTGCTGTTTGACCATTTTTAGCATGAGACAAGTCTGCATTAACATGCTACACGAGAAGTTCTTCAGTTCCTCTGGCCTGGATAAAGAGGATGGAGTTGAGGTGACTTACTGGTTCTGAAAAGTAAGGAGGCAGTCCCAGGAAGCAAAGAAGCAGGCAGGGGCTTCAGCTTCTGTTTAAGAAATCTTTCCAAGTCTCTGGCTGACTTTTCAATCATGCAGCTTCCAGCCAGACTACAACAGTAGAAATAAATGAGCAAAGACAAAAGCTCTTACCCAAGCAGTAAAGTTTGCAGTTTGAGTTCAAGCTAGTTAATTACCTCCTAAAACAAAAATATTAAGACATTTTGGGGCACTAAAACAGAATCAAGATTCACAATATAACATTAACAAAGTCCAAGATACTACACAAAATTACTTGACATATAAGGAACCATGAATATGCAACCATTTTCAAGAGAGAAGAAAATAAATTGGAGTCAATCCAAAAATGAACCAGATGTTGGAATTAGCAGAGAAAGGAATGAAAGTAAATATTATTACTACACCTATGACAGGAAGGGGACAGGCTCACAATGGAGGGCAGAGACTCTCAGCAGAGACATAAAGAAGCTAAGAAGAACCAAGTGGAAATGTTAGCGCCGAAAAATGACATCTGAGATTCAATATTCAGTGGATGGCATTAAGATCAAAATGGAGATGACCAAGGAAGGTATTAATACCAGCAAACATGAAGATAGTTCAATGGAGAGGATCTGGTCTGAAGAGAAGAGAGAAATATATTTGAAAAAGTGTTGAAAAGAGGCTGAAACCAATGAGGCAATACCAAAAGTGCCAACTTGTGCATAGTTGGATTCCCAGATGGAGGGAGTGGAAAGCGAGAATAAGACAGACAAAACATAAATAAATAACATAAACATAAATGTAAAAACAGCATAGCCAGGTATTCCTCCAAATTATTAAAAGTTGTATATTTATATTTCAAGAATCCCAGCAAAACTCACACAGTGTAAATGTGAAGAAATCTATGCACAGGCATATCATGGTCATGATTATCAAAAGCAGAATTAAACAAAATCTTATATGTGTATAGAGAGTTACACATAGAGGAACAAATGGGCCAATATTTTCAAAGTGCTGACAGAAAAATACTAAAGACTTGGAATTCCATACTCAGTGAAAATTAATGTCCTTTAACAATAAAAGTTAAATAAAAACTTCTTCAGACAAATGCAGGTGGAGAGAATTTGTTGCAAAGAGAACTGTCCTACAAAGAAGCATCAAAGGACATCTGTGAGACTGAAGGGAAATGTTACCATAGGGAAACTCAGATCTTCGGGAAGTAAAACACAATACCAGACATCAGAAATTATTTGGAAAATATAGGAGAAATGTTAAAGGTAAAATTACATTTAAAAATTTAAAACATAGAAACATATACTTTGTTTTTGAGACAATGTGTCCCTCTGTCAGCCAGGCTGGAGTGCAGTGGTGAGATCACAGCTAACTGCAACCTCGACATCCTAGGCAAAAGTAATCCTCCCACTTCAGGCTCCTGAGTAGCTAGAACTATCCTATAGGCACATGCTACCACGCATAGCTAATTTTTAACTTTTTGTAGCGTCAAGGTCTCAGCTATGTTGCTTCAGCAGGTCTTGAGCCCCAGTTCCTGGCCTGAAGTGAAACTCCTGCCTTGGTTTCCCAAAGTGCTGGGATTACAGGCAAGAGCCACCATGCCCAGTCTAAAACTTCCTCTTAATTTTTTTAATATACATTGGAAAAAGCTGATTTCCTGTAAGTGTCCAAATGACAAATTCCCAGCTAGACAGATCAAAAACATATAGTGAGATACAAATTGCAGATATCAAGAATGAAAGAAAAATTAAAACTAGATTTTGCAGAAATTAAAATAATATTAAGAAAATATTGCCAGGTGCAGTGGCTCACACCTGTAATCCCAGCAATTTGGGAGGCCTAGGTGGGTGGATCACCTGAGGTCAGGAGTTCAAGAAAAGCCTGACCAACATGGAGAAACCCCGTCTCTACTAAAAACACAAAATTAGCCAGGCGTGGTGGCGCATGCCTGTAATCCCAGCTACTCAGGAGGCTGAGACAGGAGAATCGCTTGAACCTGGGAGGCAGAGGTTGCGGTGAGCTGAGATCACGCCATTGCACTCCAGCCTGGGCAACAAGAGTGAAACTGTCTCAAAAAAAAAAAAAAGAAAGAAAGAAAATATTAAGAAAAATTTATCCCACTAATTTTGAAAACTGAGATAAATGAATAAATTCTTTGAAAAATACAACTTAAACTGTAAGCAAAAATGTAAAAAGAGACACTAAGATGAAAGGTAAATGTGTTAAATTTATTAAATACATTTTTATTAAATTCATTTTTTAAATTATTAAATTATTTATAAATTTGTTTAATAAATTTTAATTAATAATTTAATTATCAATTTAACCAATAATTTTATTAATCCATTTAACAAAATTTAATTAATAAAGTTATTAATTTTATTTAACAAAACACATTTTATTAAATAACATTTAAATGTATTAAATAAATTAAATATTTATTTATTAATATATATGCTGCCGAAGTGAGCACTATTTATTTGTTTTTATTATACTTTAAGTTCTGGGATACATGTGCAGTAATATATGTGCCATGGTAGTTTGCTGCTCCCATCAACCAATCATCTACATTAGGTATTTCTCCTAATGCTATCTCTCCCGTTGCCCCCCACCCCACAACAGATGCTGGTGTGAGATGTTCCCCTCCCTGTATCCATATTTTCTCATTGTTCAACCCCACTTATGAGTGAGAATATGTGGTGTTTGGTTTTCTGTTCCTGTGTTAGTTTGCTGAGAATGATGGTTTCCAGTTTCATTCGTGTCCCTGCAAAGGACATGAACTCATCCTTTTTTATGGCTGCATAGTATTCCTTGGTGTATATGTGCCACATTATTTTTATCCAGTCTATCATTGACGGGCATTTGGATTGGCTCAAAATCTTTGCTATTGTGAATGCTGTTGCAATAAACATACGTGTACATGTGTCTTTATAGTAGAATGATTTATAATCCTTTGGGTATATACCCAGTAATGGGATTGCTGGGTCAAAGAGTATTTCTGGTTCTAGATTTTTGAGGAATTGCCACACTGTCTGCCACAACGGTTGAACTAATTTACACTCCCAACAGCAATGTAAAAGCATTCCTATTTCTCCACATCCTCTCTAGCATCTGTTGTTTCCTGACTTCTTAATGATTGCCATTCTAACTGGCGTAAGATGGTATCTCATTGTGGTTTTGATTTGCATTTCTCTAATGACCAGTGATGATGAGCTTTTTTCTATATGTTTGTTGGCCACATAAATGTCTTCTTTTGAAAAGTGCCTGTTTGTATTCTTTGACCACTTTTTGATGGGGTTGTTTGTTTTTTTCTTGTAAATTTGTTTAAGTTATTTATAGATTCTGGATATTAGCTCTTTGTCAGATGGATAGGTTGCAAAAATTTTCTCCCATTCTGTAGGTTGCCTGTTCACTCTGATGATAGTTTCTTTTGCTGTGCAGAAGCTCTTTAGTTTAATTAGATCTCATTTGTCAATTTTGGCTTTTGTTGCCATTGCATTTTATGTTTTAGTCAAGAAGTCTTTGCCCATGCCTATATCCTGAATGGTACTGCCTAGGTTTTCTTCTAGGGCTTTTATGGTTTTAGGTCTTACTTTTAAGTCTTTAATCCATCTTGAGTTATTTTTGTATAAAGTTTAAGGAAGGGGTCCAGTTTCAGTTTTCTGCATATTGCTAGTCAGTTTTCCCAACACCATTTATTAAATAGGGAATCCTTTCCCCATTGCTTCTTTTTGTCAGGTTTGCCAAAGATCAGATGGTTGTAGATGTGTGGTGGTAATTCTGAGGCCTCTGTTCTATTCCATTGGTCTATATAGCTGTTTTGGTACCAGTACCATGCTGTTTTGGTTACCGTAGCCTTGTAATATAGTTTGAAGTCCTGTAGCATGGTGCCTCCCACCGTGTTCTTTTTGCTTAGTATTGTTTTGGCTATACAGGCTCTTTTTTGGTTCCACATGAAATTTAAAGTAGTTTTTTGTAATTCTGTGAAGAAAGTCAATGGTAGCTGGATGGGGATAGCATTGAATCTATAAATAACTTTAGGCAGTATGGCCATTTTCATGATATTGATTATTCCTATCAATGAACATGGAATGTTTTTTCATTTATTTGTGCCCTCTCTTATTTCTTTGAGCAGTGGTTTGTAGTTCTTCTTGAAGATGTCCTTCACATATGTTGTAAGTTGTATTCCTAGGTATTTTATTCTCTTTGTAGCAATTGTGAAAGGGAGTTCACTCATGATTTGGCTCTCTGTTTGTCTATTATTGGTGTATAGGAATGCTTGTGATTTTTGCACATTGATTTTGTATCCTAAGACTTTGCTGAAGTTCTTTATCAGCTTAAGGAGATTCTGGGCTGACATGACGGGGTTTTCTAAATGTACATTCATGTCATCTGCAAACAGAGATTTCACTTCCTCTCTTTCTTTTTGAGTACCCTTTCTTTCTTTCTCTTGCCTGATTGCCCTGTCCAGAACTTCCAATACTATGTTGAATAGGAGTGGTGAGAGAGGGCATCCTTGTCTTTGGGCGGTTTTCAAAGGGAATGCTTCCAGATTTTGCCCATTCAGTATGATATTGGCTGTGGATTTGTCATAAGTAGCTCTTATTATTTTGAGATATATTCCATCAATACCTAGTTTATGGAGAGTTTTTAGCAGAAGAGGTGTTGAATTTTATTGAAGGGATTTTCTGCATCTACTGAGATAATCATGTGGTTTTTATCATTGGTTCTGTTTATGTGATGGATTATGTTTATTAATTTGCATATGTTGAACCAGCCTTGCATCCCAGGGATGAAGCTGACTTGATGGTGGTGGATAAGCTTTATGATGTGCTGCTGGATTTGGTTTGCCAGTATTTTATTGAGGATTTTCACATCGATGTTCATCAGGGATATTTGCCTGAAATTTTCTTTTTTTATTTTGTCTCTGCCAGGTTTTGGTATCAGGATGATGCTGGCCTCATAAAATGAGTTAGGGAGGAGTCCCTCATTTTCTGTTGTTTAGAATACTTTCAGAAGGAATGGCAACAGCTGCTCTTTGTACCTCTGGTAGAATTCAGCTGTGACTCCATCTGGACCTGGGCTTTTTTGGTTAGTAGGCTATTTCTGCCTCAATTTCAGAATTTGTTATTGGTCTATTCAAGGATTCTCCTTCTTTCTGGTTTAGTCTTGGGAGGGTGTATGTGTCCAGGAATTTATTCATTTCTTCTAGATTTTCTAGTTTATTTGCATAGAGCTGTTTATACTATTCTCTAATGGTAGTTTCGAATAGAACTAATAAAGATAGGGTAAGAGATTTGCTAATTAAAATTTGACAATGTCTAACACTGAGATTTAGTTAGAAATAATATTCTTTATGTATCTTATAGATATGTTAGGTGTAGGCTTTATCAGGTAATAAGTAAGAAAGAGTAAAGATCAATGTATTTCTTGATCTCAAGGAACTTTTTAAATTCAGAATAATGCATTTTCACAATTTTAAGGTGCTATATAGGTTACATTTTCATATACCTATAAATTATATACACATCTAAAATCAATTTATTTTAGAGATTAGAGATATGAGTAAATTTGATATAAATTATTAGCATAAACATTAGCTATCAACCACTTTTGAAATGGTACTCATTAGGAGGTTATTCTCCAACTAACATAAAATTTCTTATATCATTTTTCTATATGCAGAGTAGAGAAATTCAAGCCATAATAATAGTTGCTATTTAAGATAGTCCAGCTCTGCTCTTTTATGGAAAGAAAAATTATAAGAATTCAAGAAATAACACATATACAAATATCAAATTTTTGTCAAATTTAGAGACAAGATTTTATAATGTTCATCTTAAATCATCACAATAAGAAATAGTTTAGATCCAGATTTATCTCTTATTAAGAATTCCTATCAATTATAACCAGATTTCATATCAGCTTTGATTCTTTTTTTGTTTTTCCACTGTACTATGGTTTAAATGTGTCCCAAAAATTTTATGTGTTGGAATCTTAATCCCTAAATTTATACGTTGATTGGAGGTGGAACATTTAAGAGGTAATTAGGATTAATAAGGTCCTGAGGGTGGGGCCCCCACAATGGGACTGGAGGCTTTATAAGAAGAGAAAGAAAGAGCTGAGTTGACACGCATGCTCTTGCCCTCTTGCCATGCGATGTCCTCCACCATATTATGACACAGCAATAAGGCCCTTGCAAGATGTCAGCTCCATGCTCTTGGACTTCCCAGCCTCCAAAACCATAAAGTAAATAAACGTATTTTCTTTAAAATTACTCAGTCTCAGGTATTTTGTTATAGCTACAGAAAACAGAGTAAGACAAACTCAATCTGATGACACACGTCAACTGGTAGACACAGGTAGCTTCTTTAGCTGAGTCAATCTGGTTCGTGAGATGTAGAATATAGCAAAGCTTACAGTCAAAGGGTAGGGCCCCAACTGCTATCTATTTTGTCCTCCAAGTCATATTTACTAATAGAGTAAAGATTCTAGAGCTTAGAGGAGCGCTTTAGTACCTATTACCCCCTAAGAAACACCATCCACTGATCTGGGGGCATAGCTTCTGCCTAAGTTTGGCTTAGATTTGCATTCTGATTGTTGAATACTCTTGTGGCCTCACTCTTTTTACATTCACAATTAGAACTGGAGACCAAATTTCCATTTCTCTGGCTAGGCTGTGGTGCCTATCAAACACAGTTTGGAGCCAAGAGGAAGAAACTGCAGGAATATACAGACTGCCTGCATGATATACTTCTCAAATATTACAACTTAATGTCACAAAGGTGAAGAAAGATATGTAGTTGACCCTTGACATGGGCTTGAACTGCATGGGTCCACTTATTTGTGAGTTTTCTTCTGCCTCTGCCAGCCCTGAGACAGCAAGACCAACCCTTCTTCTTCCTCCTCCTCAGCCTACTCAAGGTGATCAAGACAAGGATGCAAACCTTTATGGTGATACACTTCCATTTCATAAGTAGTAAATACATTCTCTCTTCCTTATGAGTTTCTCAAAAATATTTTATTTTCTCTTGCTTACTTTATTGGAAGATAGTATCTAATACATATAACCTAGAAAACGTGTGTTAATTGACTGCTTATGTTATCTGTAAGGCTTCCAGTTAACAGTAGGCTATTAGCAATTACGTTTTTGAGAAGTCAAAAAGTATACAAAGATTTTAGGGTATGTGAGGGGTCAGTGACCTTAACTCCTGCATTGTTCAAGGGTAGACTGTATATCTGTAAAAAATGAATCACATTTATGCTTACAAAATCTATGTATCTGTTTGTGTTCTGGTAGTCAACATTGTACACTTTGAATGTACTAATTAAACCATGAACTATTAACCTATGAACACCACTTTATGGAGCGATCTCCTACACTATATCATACTGTGCCCCTTTGCCCAGCACTTCAGCTCTGTGTAGTTTCCCTTTTTCAGATCATGGTGCTGTTTTCATAACCTCCAAGCATCAATAAAGATGTTATCAATGAGAGACAAATCTTTCAATGCTGGGCTCCAGACAGAATTTCACAAAATGGCAGCTCCTGTATTTTCTCTTATTTGTGCTCCAAATCATCTTATTCTCCTAATTTGGAAATAACCCACCCCAAAATAACTTTAAAGAGCCAAATATGTTAGAAAGCAAAATGTAGAAGTATTATAAGAAAATATAGGCAAATGGTTGTGATAGTTGGAAATTGGTAAGACATTCTTAAGCAACATATAAAATGCAAAGCCATAAAGGCACACATTAAGATAATTAGTAACATGCAAATAAAGTCACCCTATCTTCTCCTTCCCTATGCAACGTCACCCCATCGTCTTCTTCCCTGTGCAGGGTCACCCCATCTTCACCCAGACCCAAGACCCAATCTCCCTTCCCTGTGGAGCGTCACCCCATCTTCTCCTTCCCTGTGCAGGGTCACCCCATCTTCATCCAGACCCAAGGCCCAATCTCCCTTCCCTGTGGAGCGTCACCCCATCTTCTCCTTCCCTGTGCAGGGTCACCCCGTCTTCACCCAGACCCAAGGCCCAGCCTCCTTTCACTCCTCTCCACTCTCCATCACTCCATTTGGATTTCCCTTTGTGTGACAACTCATGCTGCAAGCTTTTTGCTACTGTCTTTTTCATAGAAAAATCCATGTTCTTGTTCCTTATTTCATATTTATCTTTCTACTCACATAAGATTATACAATCATTTCTTGAAGTCAGGCCCTTAACAAAGGAGTAACTAAAAATGGCTTTCGACCCTGGAAATACCAGAGAAGGCTTTTTGCCTTTTGCTTTTTTTTTTCTTTATATCAGCCTATCTAGCGATGTCCTGAAGCAATATAAATGGCCAGCATTGTTCCAGTACTCCAGCATTCCATTCACGCTTATCGATCTGATATTCGTAGTGAAAATCCCACTTTTCCCCCAGTCACTTGATCTGTAAGAGGTGAGAGGAAACTTCAAAGTGATTGCACTGAGCTTCCGTGGCTTTTACGCGGATTTTAGAGGAAGCTGATTAAACGGTGATAAGTACTTTCAAAGTTTCAAATGCGATTTCTGTTCTAAGCCCATATTAATAAGTCATTTTAATATACTGAACAAAACTACAGATGTGGCTAGAACAAAGAAACATTTTAGACCAAAGCTCATGTATTTATCCAAGTGCCAAATCCCTTTGGCTGGACTGCTTGTCTTTTACAATGCCTGTGATAGAGACCAGAGTGTTTAGAATAGGACACTTATGTGACAAGCCTTTCACAATTAATTTTAGCTTAGCCATACCAAACATAAACCGTAATAGTATTCCTGGAAAGGAAATGCGTAACCATCACGAATACCAGAGTTTTTAAGACAAAATAGTTTAATCAGAGTCAGGGTATCAAAAACACAGAGAGAAAAGTTGAAAAATTCCCCAGGAATTTAAAAATAATTTGTTCATTTGGCCTGCAAAAAAAAATGCACTTGTTCTGAAATTCATACATGCCAACATTATGCCTAAAATACAGAAGAGATAGAAGAAACGAATTGAAATCCATTGACTCTGTAAAAATTGAGATGACACTGGCTGGATGGACTGTTAAATATAAGATTTTGGTACTTATCGGAGATGACGGTGAGATTAGGACTAAAATGAGACAATAGAAATATTATGGGGAAACGTTATATTACATGAAGTTCTGAAATAAAAACATTTTGGAGAACATTAATCTGGCACAAAATTTTATGCATGTTAATGATAAAACGGCTTTTCAATGTTAACTTACTGGAAAATAAAATATTCTGTTTGTGAATCAGTGGTTAACTGGTGTCATGAGGGAGCTGCTAACCTCTAGCAGATAGGCTGCAGGTGATCTGAACGCAAGCCAATCCCATCTAGATCATGGAGAAAGCAGGGTAGTGGGAGGAATGGCACCAAAGAATTAAATGTTAAATGCTTGGAAAACTAAATAAGGCAATAATTCTTACAAGCTACTCTCAGGTGAGAATCCAATTACGATACCATTATTATGAATACATTTTCCTTTTATTAAATAGAAATAATTTAATGAAGGAGTGCCTTTCATTTTGAGCCTCATCGTGCAGCTTTGTGCAAAGTGGCCTATGGGTGTCAATAAATAGGAACTAAACGTGACTATGTTCTTGGAGGCCAATGAGATCATCTATGTAAAGAAAAGGCAGAATGTTGGAAATGATCATTTTATGATAATGATTAAAATGATAACTTTTAATTATTCATACTCCCTGCCTATTTAAGAAGCTAATTCCTTTCAAGAATTAGGCCTTGAGCCACAACAGAATAAAATATAAAGCTCAATTTGCTTTTTCTAGTAAATTACAATGGACTAGAATGTAATATAAGCCAATATTTTTTAAAAATCAGTTGTGTTGTCTTTCTCCAGACCTGCCAATCAATCACAGAGAAATAGTATGTATTCTTCCCTCTCTGATTCCGTTGAGTCTAGATAGTTTTAAAGGCATTTACATTAGATCTTCAGGGCTCCACACAAGTTTAAGTAACTTATTTGCTGCCACAAAAAATTAATTTCATAGATATTCTAAGTAAATGTCCATGTTTAAACAGCTTCACATTTTTCTCTTTTTCAATGACTCTAATTCTTGGACAAAACATATTTCTCTTTACAAATTCATTTATGCATTCATAAAAATTCAAATATAAAGTTAAAGTTTGGGATATTTTAAAATTTTCTATATCTTATAATTCAGGGTAGACATTATGGAAAGTATGGAAATAAGCACTTTAGCCAACAAATTCTTCAAAGCAGGCATTCTACTCTGTGTATTTTCACCAGAGCCTGTGGGGAGTTCCAGATCAGAAAACCCAATTTATCTGTCACTGCTGTTGTCTTGGGGAACCAGGATCTTTTGCAAGTTTAAGACCCAGTGAACTTCTTACATTTCCCCAAAGAAATAAGATTGAATTTTATGTAAATATACATCCAATGACATTTAAGCTTACCTCATGTGCCACAAAAACTATAAACTAGGGTCAAACAGAGATATTACCTTTTAAAAGGGGATACATATTCAAAATGAACCAATACTTTTTTCTCAGAAAAATAGCTATTGCAGGAGAATTCTAACAAAAAAGATAAGGTCTTATTTCTTAAAACATTAACATTTAGACTAGGAAGCATCAAAGGACATCTCAGAGACTAGGGCAGCTCACCTGAAAGGTCATTCTACTGCCAAGTTTTGGATTACAATTGAATTCAGCTTCTGACCCCAGAAATGAAGATAAATGGTGGACTCTCTGCATGATGTTAACTTATATTTTTGAAGAAAGTCTTGTTACTTTTTTAAACTTTGTTCTGTATAGTGCACTGACTCCTTTAGCATGTATCTTAAATTAGCTTGCTTATAATATTCTTTCTCTCTCTTTCCCTCTCTTCCTGTTAAAATGAAAACAAAGTACTCTGAAAAATTAGAATGAACTACAGCCTCATTAATGTATGTGTATGTGCATATTGCATCTGTGAATGAAAATTTGTAATGTAAATTAACTGATAATTTAAGATGAATACTCAGTTCATTATTACTTTGGTTTTAGCTTTTTTCTAGAATCTCCATTTATAGACATAATAATTTTCTTTTTACAGGATACAGTCTGATTTCTACCATTCTCTTGCTCTTAAAAAATTATTATCTCAAAGGTCAATAATGACATTTTAATTACCAAATGTAGTGACTGTTATTTTCATTGATTTCCTTATTGTTTTCATTGATTACCTGCAGCATTTGAAACACTTGCCTTCATTCCTTTTTGAAACATGTCCTTCTCCCTTTTCTTTCTTTTTCCTTCCTCCCTCCCTCCCTCCCTCCCTCCCTCCCTCCCTCCCTTCCTTCCTCCCTCCCTCCCTCCCTTTCTTCCTTCCTTCCTTCTTTCCTTACTGCCTGTCTTTAGCTTACTAAGGGCTTAGAAATTTGAAGCCCAGCAAACCAACAGTGATACCTACATACCAGTTGTGCAACCTTGAGCAACTTGCTACCTAACCTGTCTAATCAGTGTGGTGTCAGCTTGTGATGTCAAGATTGAGCTTAAATGCTTAAATGCTTAGCTTAAATGCTTCTGTCAATTGAAAAAAAAAGATATAAAGAAAATGGTAATACGTGCAATAAAATCCTGAGTGTTGAAGCCCTAGCCACTCTTGAGAGGTTCTCAAACTAGGTAGATGGTGGGAGGCCTGGACACATCGCCACAAACCAGGTTCAGGTATGGATGGGTCTTAGCCCTTTCTCTCTCCTGGACTCAGTGGCTGAATTTCCAAATAGATATCATCTTGTGAAGGTGCTGCTACCATTGCAGATGCAAAAATAGCCATGAACTCGGGCCGAGCACAGTGGCTTATGCCTGTAATCCTAGCACTTTGAGAGGCCGAGGCAGAGGGATCTCTTGAGACCAGGAGTTCGAGGCCAGCCTTGCCAACATGATGAAATCTCATCTCTACTGAAAATACAAAAATTAGTCAGGTGTGGTGGTGGGCACCTGCACTCCTAGCTACTCCAGAAGCTGAGACAGGAGAATCACTTGACCCTTGGAGGTGGAGGTTGCAGTTTGCCAGGATTGTGCCACTGCACTCCAGTCTGGGTGACAGAGCCTCCATCTCAAAAGCAAACCAAAAAAAGCCATGAAATCAGTTTTCTCATCTCTTCATCCTGGGGACTTGAGAGCTCTCTTTCCCTCTTCCTTGCTCTGCATGTGGAATGTTATGAAATCTTGCCCTTCTAGCTGCCCTGTGTGCCCCTCCATAATTCTCCTGCCACCACTCTCATAGCTGCCCTGTGTGCCCCTCTGTAATTCTCCCGCCACAGCCACAACTCTCATAGCTGCCCTGTGTGCCCCTCCGTAATTCTCCCGCCACAACTCTCACCACAGGGCTCACTTTCTTTTGCCACAGCTATTGTGGTATCTTCCATATGTTCCCTTTCCCTCTAATCTTTCCAGTCTTGAACCCAACCTCTCTGTGGCTGCCAGGTGTCAAGAAAGAAAACTCCATTCAGGTTGTTCCCCTACAAATCCCACCCCCACCTGCCACTATCGGCACTGCTCTAGTGATGACTTCTGCCAGCATACCACCTTTCTTTCTTCTTTCTTTTTTTGACAGAGTCTCACTCTGTCGCCAGGCTGGAGTGCAGTGGCGTGATCTCGGCTCACTACAACCTCCGCCTCCCGGGTTCAAGCAATTCTCCTGCCTCAGCCTCCTGAGTGGCTGGGACTACAGGTGCGCACCACTAAGAGCAGATAATTTTTGTATTTTTAGTAGAGACAGGGTTTCACCATGTTGGCCAGGATGGTCTCGGTCTCTTGACTTCATGATCCACCTGCCTCGGCCTCCCAAAGTGCTGAGATTACAGGCATGAGCCAGCGCGCCCAGCCGCATACCACCTTCCTATGCTGTGACCCCCACCTGTTTTAGCATCTTATCTACTTAGTCACTCATTGATTTCATTTAATATCATATACATATGTACTGAGGGCCTACTGCATGTCTATAGTTATAGTAGTGACACACATCACATATGAGCTCCCACTTCCATCTCACTTACATTACAAAAAGGAGAGGTTGATGACAAACAGCTAAAAGAATAACAAAACAGGACGATGCAATAGAGGACGAATGAGGAGAGAAGGATCCATTTCAGATAGTTAGCCAGTGATGGCCTTTCTCCAGAACAGACATTTGAGCTAAGATCTGAATGTAAAGAGGAAGCCAACCACGCTAAGTTTCAGCAGAGGCTTCCGGGCAGAAGGGAGGCAGAAACAAAACCCCAGTGCGAGCCAACATCAACATACTATACACACTCAGGCCAAAACTGGACTCCTGGCTGATTCATGACTCTTGCTTTGCAACTTGTTTCCATTAATGCTGTTGTTCATGATGGTTCCTCTACTCCAACCCTTTTTGTTAAAATCCATCCGTCAAGTCCTAATTCGAACGCAACCCTGAAGTTTCCCTTTTTCATCAAAATTACGTGCATTCTTCCTCTCCATTAAGACTTGTCTCATTCTTGGAGTTTTATATTCTGTCACTATGTACTTATCTGTGTGCTCAGCTCATGCCCCTAGCAAAGTGTGTGTTACCGGAGGACAAGATTTAAAATAAATTATTGGTTTTTGTTCTGTATGGAGTCTGATATAATGTTTTAAGTACAAGAATTTTTCAAAAAGTATTTATGGAATTTGAGAAAATGTGCACACTTATTTAAACATCAGACTACCATTTACTAACATTTGTCTGCAGTGATCATGGCTTCCAATTACCCTCTAGAAAACATCCAAAGTGCCTCACAAGGATGCAGGGCTTTTGCGATCTGGCCCCCACCTTCATGTTGCAGCTTCAAACTTGTTTACACTGGGCTTTATTTCCCTGTTATCCAGCTATGTTTAGCTATTTTTATTTCTCATAATGGAGCATGCTATCTGTCCATATTCACCTTTGCACATGCCATTGAGTTGGCTTGGACTCACCGTCCACTCCCAGCCACCACAAATCTACCTTCTCCGTTGCTCCCGCCTGGATGGTAGTCTAGGACTTCCTATGCCAGCACCAGACTCCCCAGAAAGCATTTCTTTTCCTGTCTCTGCCCACATGTGGATTAGCAGCCCATCTTATGTGTTTCCTAAAGCCTCATATTTATCCCTATCCCAACACTGAAGAAAGTGTGGTGATCTACTCATTTATTTACTTCTCCTAATGCACTACAAGGTTCTCGAGGTAGGAAGTTAACTAAGTTCTCCCTCTCATTCCCAGTGATAGCACAGTTCCCAGCATATAGTGAGTGTTTAATAAGTATCTTTGAAAGAATGAATGAGCTGATCAATCATGAATTCCGCAAGAGCATCTTCTATAGGCCACTGCATCCTCACTGCCTGGGACAGTGCTTGATTAATCATGAATTCTGCAAGAGCATCTTCTATAGGCCACTGGGTCCTCACTGCCTGGGACAGTGCTTGATCAATGATGAATTCCTCAAGAGCATCTTCTATAGGCCACTGCGTCCTCACTGCCTGGGACAGTGCTTGATCAATCATGAATTCCTCAAGAGCATCTTCTATAGGCCACTGCGTCCTCACTGCCTGGGACAGTGCTTGATCAATCATGAATTCCTCAAGAGCATCTTCTACAGGCCACTGTGTGCTCACTGCCTGGGACAGTGCTTGATCAATCATGAATTCCTCAAGAGCATCTTCCATAGGCCACTGCGTCCTCACTGCCTGGGACAGTGCTTGGGTATATGGTCAGCACTCAATAAACATTTGTTAAATAGAGGACTAAAATATTACAATTATGACTGTCTATTTTCCTCTATTTTTTCACACTTGTGCTGTGTATTTAAGGGGACTGACTAGGCTGAGGTGAATAGACTACAGTGCCTTCTCTCCAGGAACTCAGGATCTTGTTGAGACACAAAATACTTTAAATATGACAAGCTGATAATATCAACTGTTTATAGATAACTCATAACTCTAATTGACTTAAAAACTACATAGTGGAAACAGCATAGAACATGAATTGAAACAAAACTGGATTTAGTTATGGTGTGATTGTCTAATCACATTTTACATTTCTCACCTTTGGCGTCAGCCAATGTAACTGAGGATATTAAGGTATTTTGGATTTGGAGGACGATGTGCCTGGAAATATGCTAAGGCATTTTGGCATCTATTCTCTAGTCATTGGGGCAACAATAAAATATTAAATATTCTTTCCAAAATTCAAATGTTTGTATTTGTAACATTTATTCCTGATGCTGTATATAAAGTATAATGCTAATTAAACTACAGTCCCCATTCTCGAGTGGGCATTTTTGTTTTGGGTTATGACTGGAATAGTCTCTATTTCTTATGAACTACGTGGATTTATCCAGTGAAACTTCCTTCAGAAATTATATAAGGCTGTTAGGATGCAGGACTCACTGTAGCACCAGTATCATTTCTTCCCTAAACATGAATTATCATTTAAATTTACTTCTTAAACAACGCTTTTCATGAGTGAAAAATGGCATATGTCATATGGATAAAGAATCACCGAATGACATCAGTGTATCCAAAACCATTGCGGAAAGATAACTTGAAAGTACTGGATTAGGCCGGGCGCGGTGGCTCACGCCTGTAATCCCAGCACTTTGGGAGGCCGAGGCGGGCGGATCACGAGGTCAGGAGATCGAGACCATCCCGGCTAAAACGGTGAAACCCCGTCTCTACTAAAAATACAAAAATTAGCCGGGCGCAGTGACAGGCGCCTGTGGTCCCAGCTACTCGGGTCTGAGGCAGGAGAATGGCGTGAACCCGGGAGGCGGAGCTCGCAGTGAGCCGAGATCGCGCCCCTGCACTCCAGCCTGGGCGACAGAGCGAGACTCCGTCTCAAAAAAAAAAAAAAGAAAAAAAAAAAGAAAGTACTGGATTAAGTCTAACGCCTTAAGAGGAGGCGGATGGTTTACATAGTCCTTGACACTGGAAACATGTCTCAATGACACTGTATGTTTTCTCTCTTTAGTTTTCACTTCATTTTGATCCATCGCTTCATGTGAATTAAACAATGGGAGCAGGTGGTATGGAAGTCCTGATTTGACCACATTCTTCTCTATGACATGTCTTAAATTTCATGAGTTTCCTGTGTAAACTCTCTTTGGCAGACCCTCTGGATACTTCGTGATGGCAAAAACACATCTTACTCTGGTAAAATATTAAGGGTGTTCCTCGAATCTGAATAATAAAATGGCATTGAGATGAAGTACATTAATGATGCTTGGCAGAACAACAGTCAGGGTGTTTTCAAGGTATTCCTCCTTTAAAAGTAAACATGGTAAGCGGAAAAGAAAATCACATGTAAATATGCGTACTTCATATGTTGGCAGGTGTGAACCTGTGAGTGGTGAAAAGGCGGGCTTTGTGTAACCAACACACATAGGTGATGTGGCAGATCTTGTAGAGTGAGCTCAGGGCTGGGGTTGGCAGGGAGGAGCAGCAGTAAGTCTGACTTGGTGCCATCACGGAGGAACATGGCCTTGCTCCAGGGCGTATATCAGAGCTCCTCGGTGGGGACAGCACGATTGTCCCTGGTGTCTGCGTCCTGGCTCGCACTGCGGGTCACAGGCGGTATCTCCTCTGGCAATAGCTGCTCGTCCTCCCCTGAGCTCCAAGTATCTCCTGTGAGATATTTGCCTGTCGTGCAATCAGCCCAATTTTCTCCTGGCTCTGATCTTACAGTGCGCACTGTTTTCCGCTGTCCTTGAGAAAAAAATGTCGATTGAAGCCTGTTTCCTGGAGGCAACACTTGTGACAAGAATTTCACCACGTACTTCAGGGGCTCTGGCCCACTACCTCTTCTACTGGAGCAAGTGGTGTGACTGTCTTATGAGAAAAGAACTCTGTTATTCATCTTGTTAGGTGGGTAGAATATGTCTTGGAAGTACAATCAACACCTGCAATATTCTTAATTTTGTCAAAATCCCCAAGGCTTCACACTACAAGGTACAGAAATCTAGCTTGGCACCGGCCCGGCGCGGGGGCTCACGCCTGGAATCCCAGCACTTGGGGAGGCCGAGGCGGGCAGATCACGAGGTCAGGAGATCGAGACCATCCTGGCTAACACGATGAAACCCCGTCTCTACTAAAAATACAAAAAATTAGCCGGGCGTGGTGGCGGGCGCCTGTCGTCCCAGCTACTCGGGAGGCTGAGGCAGGAGCATGGCGTGAACCCGGGAGGCGGAGCTTGCAGGGAGCCGAGATCGCGCCACTGCACTCCAGCCTGGGCGACAGAGCGAGACTCCGTCTCAAAAAAAAAAAAAAAAAGAAAGAAAGAAAAAGAAAAACAAAAAAGAAATCTAGCTTGGCACCAGAGAACTAATTTCTAACCATTACTTTGCCGTATATAAAAATTGGGCACAATTACAATACTCTTCAATATTTTATGTGAGGAGGAGCCATTTACATATAAAGGACTTAGCATAATGCTTTATATGACTAATATAGGCCAATACATGTAGTAACTATGATTGTTGTAAAATATTAAATAACGATTAACGATAGAAATTCCAAGCAAAGAGACATCAGGTGGGACCTATACTTAGTGTTGCCCTCTGAGATTAGAGTGTCCAAAAGTAGAGAAACCTTGTACTGTGTGTTCCTCAGGACAGATCCAATGCAGATCTGTGGTCCCAGCATAATTATTAGTTAATAGCACACTCTTTGACTCTCAAGGATCCAATGCAGAACTGTGGTCCCAGCATAATTATTAGTTAATAGCTCACTCTTTGACTCTCAAGGATCCAATGCAGATCTGCGGTCCCAGCATAATTATTAGTTAATAGCACACTCTTTGACTCTCAAGGATCCAATGCAGATCTGTGGTCCCAGCATAATTATTAGTTAATAGCACACTCTTTGACTCTCAAGGATCCAATGCAGATCTGTGGTCCCAGCATAATTATTAGTTAATAGCACACTCTTTGACTCTCAAGGATCCAATACAGATCTGTGGTCCCAGCATAATTATTAGTTAATGGCACACTCTTTGACTCTCAAGGATCCAATGCAGATCTGTGGTCCCAGCATAATTATTAGTTAATGGCACACTCTTTGACTCTCAAGGATCCAATGCAGATCTGTGGTCCCAGCATAATTATTAGTTAATGGCACACTCTTTGACTCTCAAGGATCCAATGCAGATCTGTGGTCCCAGCATAATTATTAGTTAATAGCACACTCTTTGACTCTCAAGGATCCAATACAGATCTGTGGTCCCAGCATAATGATTAGTTAATAGCACACTCTTTGACTCTCAAGGATCCAATACAGCATAATTATTAGTTAATAGCACACTCTTTGACTCTCAAGGATCCAATACAGCATAATTATTAGTTAATAGCACACTCTTTGACTCTCAAGGATCCAATACAGATCTGTGGTCCCAGCATAATTATTAGTTAATAGCACACTCTTTGACTGTCAAGGATCCAATACAGCCTAATTATTAGTTAATAGCACATCCTTTGACTCTCAAGTCTCAAAGTTTAGATGATAAATTTAAAGTTTTCTCTCCTCTTGGAGGACAGAATTGAGGAGTGTGGTGCCAAGAGAGAGTGTCCAGGAAATCTGATAACAAAGACAATATCCAGTTATCCTCATGGATATTCAAGCCAAAGCAAACTGGGCTGCTGTTTCCATCAGCAAAGTGACTAGAAATGAACCTGTGATCATTACAGGGGTCTGGATGTCCCGCACAGCATGTGTGTATGTAGGTAATTGCCCTAAGGAACGGTGACGGGGTCTGGAACAGGACTTCAGTCCACACCTTAGAGAAAGGCCAGGACACAAAAGCAAGGCACAGGCAGGTTTCATAAGGGCAAGAGCTCTAGGAATCCATCAGGTCAGAGACAAAGCACAGAACACCCAGAAGGTATTTAATTTAAGTGTGTTAACTCCTTCCATTCTCTAACCTGGAATTTGGCGTCAGTCTTAAGTTCCAGTCCTGTTTCTGTCATGTACATCTATGTCACCTTGCCCAGGCTTTTTACTTCATCATAACCAAGGCTCCTGGTTTTTAAAATAGGAACAAGAATACCTGCGTCACTGGGTGATTGTGCAGATGAGATGAAAAAAGACAATATACACGCAGACTCACATGGAACTTAGCAAATAGGAAGAACTCATTAATGTTATAATTATTCTGGTGATTACCAAAAGTGTAATTTGAAATGCAGTTTCATTTCAGGAGCAAAGCTAAAGTCCAGCTCCCCTCACTGGGATTCATGTCTGTCAATCATTTTCTTGGTCCTAAGCCACCTAATCTGGAGCCTTTTAAATTGCTCATGCTAATTTGAGATGTGTAAGGTGGGGTGAAGCTTGTGCAGAGAGAAATAGATGCTTGAGGTATGGGTTAAAAAGAGATGTAGAAGGTAGAAAATAATACTCTTAATCACTCTGATGCATGCCCTTGATAGCATTTGTCTTCTAGGGAATCTGGTCTATTCACAGGATATGTGTGTTACCCTAAATTATCAGGTTTGTAAGAAAGCTGAGAGATAAAGAAGGGCATCTTTAAACATTCTAGAATGGCTATTTTCTTTCCCAGAAGCATAATCTATGTGACAAATTTATCTATTTTAGTAATGTGACTAATTTACCTATTAAGTTCACTTAATGAAATTAATAGCATCATCTTGAGTTTGAGAACAAACTTTTTCACTTCCTAGAGAAGGTACAAATAATATGAATCTGGAAAGAATATATTCCTGATACAAAATTTACTCCAGTACCTGTACTGACTTCACAGATTAAATTCTTGCCATTAAGAAGTTTAGTTGAATCTCATTTTTCTCTGCGATGGCCAAGCTGGTGATAAGCCAACAATAAAATAGAATGGAGCAGCCGTGGTTGACTGGTCTCCAACAGACTCATAAAACATCCATTAGTTCTTGCCTATTGCCTGGAAAATCGAGTGAGATATTTAAAGCCATGGTTCCAAAGACTTAAATTAAGGCACAAGGAGAGAATTAATTATCTTTAGAGTTAAGTACTTCGCAAATACACCGTGACATTCAGTGTTGCTTTGGATCAATCAGTGTTGTTTCAGATCAATCAAGGAAGTCATACAACACCACTTTGAGACAGGCCAGTTACTCCATTCTTTTTCTTGTTAACAGTAAATTCCTTCAAGACTACATATTTAAGCTTCATACTAAATGTAAAAATCTTTGAACCCAAATTTGAATTTGGAGCAGAATTGGTTTAACAGTCCTTACCAATGACCAAAATAGAGCTATTTGGCCAATAAAATCCAGTATTAACCAAACACTCATAGCTATCGTGGTCTGTGCCTAGCTCACTCCCCCATTTCTGGGTATTGGCTTGCATTTCCTTAGTGTATTTACATGTTACAATAAGAGGAATTGTGTTTTTAAATGATGACCTTATCTCTCTGGCCACAAGCAATTTGCCCAGGGATGGACACCTGATTCACATTAGTTCTTTCCATAAAAATGTTACATTGGAGCCAAGAAAGATTTTATTGAATGTCTTTCCAGAAGACTGAACAAGAACATGTTAACTTGGAATGACTGCAGCCATGCTTCCAGTCACGTGAACCAAGAAAAAGATTCCTCCAAGCTTGGGCACACACAAGAAAACAGAGATGTAAGATGACAATACAGCCTCCTTCTTATGTCTCTGCTGTGTTCACTTTATTCCTGATACTCTGTGGCTTCCCTCGCCTTCATTTTCATGTAAAGCTCATGTAGTCGTCTATTGAATGTTCTTTACTTAAAGTAGTTGGACTGGATTCATGTTTCTTGCAACCAGAATAGTCCTCACTAATGCATGCTGTGATTATGTTGAGTACTTGGAAAAAGTCATTACAATCATTTGCCTTTGACAAAGACCTTTAACGATCTTTTACCTCTATTTCTAAGGGATATTAAATGAAAAAAGATGGTGTATCATTAAATAGGATTAAAAAAATCTGAGTTGAAGAAATCTAAACCTTTTCTTTTTTTGCTATACTTAGTGCTTTAAAATGCCTGTGATTGTAAATTTCTAAGAGCTCAGTGTATTGTACAGCATTTTGCACCTTTATGTAGTCATAGAGCTATTTTTCTGAGGAACATCTTCAGGTAATATTTCATGAAGAATCCTCTGGAATATGCTGATTTATCCCATCTGCCTAAAAGAGAAACAAAAGCCACGTAATTTCGTTTCTCCTAACCCACCTCATAGACGAGAACCTGGACTAAAATCTAGATTTCCAGGTTTTCTTTCTCGTTGTTCTCCCTTTACCGTATGTTGACTTTGATCATAGCCAACAGGCATGGGAAAGTGATACGGTTGGCCTGTGTCCCCACCAAAACCTCAATTTGCATTGTAGCTCCCATAATCCCCACATGTTGTTGGGGGACTCGGTGGGAGGTCATTGAATCATGGGGGTGGTTACCCTCATGCTGTTCTCGTGATAGTGAGTGAGTTCTCACAAGATCTGATGGTTTTATAAGGAGCTTTTCCCCCTTTTGCTCGGCACTTCTCCTTGCTGCCGCCATGTGAAGAAAGACGTGTTTGCTTCCCCTTTCGCCATGATTGTAAGTTTCCTGTATCCTCCCCAGCCCTGCTGAACTTTGAGCCAACTAAACCTCTTTTCTTTATAAATTACCCAGTCTTTGGTATGCCTTTATTAGCAATGTGAGAATGGAGTAATACAGAAAGTAAACCATATAGAAATGACTTTCAGTACACACACACCCCTGTACATATTGCAGTGACTTTCCATACACAGGAACAGTCCCTGTGAGTCTCTGCAGGGACAGCCCAGTGAGAGGAGCAGAGTGAAGACTCAGGGGGCAGCATGTCCAGGTTATAATGCTTGTTTGGCTTTCTTTTATTCTTTTAAATTTTTTTTAATTAATTTACTTATTTTTGAGATGGAGTCTCGCTCTGTCACCCAGGCTGGAGTGTAGTGCTGCAATCTTGGTTCACTGCAAGCTCAGCCTCTTGAGTTCAAGCAATTCTCCTGCCTCAGCCTTCCGAATAGGTGGGATTACAGGCACCTGCCACCACGCCTGGCTAATTTTTTGCGTTTTTAGCAGAGACGGGGTTTCACCGTGTTAGCCAGGATGGTCTTGATCTCCTGACCTCGTGATCTGCCCATCTTGGGCTCCCACAGTGCTGGGATTACAGGCATGAGCCACTGCACCCAGCCTTGGCTTTCTTTTAGTTGTGTGACCCTACACAGGGATGTGACCTGGCTGGCCTTGGTGTCATCTATAAAATGGGAATGCTACCTGTATCTCTCCTGGTGGCAGTGAGGAGTAGATGATTTAGTGAGCATGCAGCTGACTCTGAGGAGCTGTTCAGTTACAGCTACATCCTAGGGGCCTTCCTCACTAAGACCGTGTGGGCAATGCTGCACTTCTCAGATCTGCTGCCACTGAAGTTCTGGATATCATTTTAGGTAGAAAAATCCGATCAATGCTGTCTTTTGAGGCTTGGATTTGAAACTGAGCTACATGGGAAAAGAGGCAAGGTGCAGGTGACACAATTCCTAGACACACATTTTATCAGAGACAGAGTGATGCTGGAGCTGGCCATACAACTAGTGGCTTCTCACTCCAGCAGGGGCTTCTGAGAGTGAAAGGTGCAGTCGTCCCTCAGGGGTATGTTTGGGAGTTCCCAAAAGCAAAGTGTAGACTGTGTTTTCAGTCCTCCCAGTGACTCTGAAATCCACTTTATACTGATAAAGAATCTCTTTCTTAAACTGGCCATATGGATTAAATTTTTGAAAAAAAACTTATGATTCAAAAAACTAAAAACATGTTCTAAGAATATTACATAAAACAGTGTAGAAAGCACTTATATGATCTCTTATGATTATTATTTGGTGGACTATCCTGCAGCAATATCCCGGGTGTGGCTAGGATGCACTAATTGCCACTGTAGTGTCCCAAAGCAATTAACGTGCCTCCCTAAGTGAAAAATTGTGACAAGGAAGGATATGTATCACACAAGAAATAGAATTACGTGCTTGATCTTGACATCTCTTTATTAATGGAGCTGTAATTTCTTTGTATTTAAGTTGCTTTATCTGAACATTGGGCACAGAAACACAGAGATGGAGACTGACACAGAGAAAAGATGGCCTTGGGGCTCATAGAGGAGTCACCATGATTCCATAATATGTCTTTTTAAATTTCTGCAGCAGAACCTCAACTGAATCTCGCCAGTTACTTAGTAGTACAAGAATAACTTCAAGGAAGGAAATCTATTTATATCATCTAGAAACAAGAAGGAAACCTATTTATGGAAATGAAATTACTCTTGACTGTTAGGCCTTCAACTTGTACTAGGCTTTGACCATAGTGTGTCTGTAGTCACCAGATAACACTAAAAATCAGCCCTAAAATCCGTCTTTTCTTCAATCATATGCTTTGTAATTGAAAAAGTATAACATTAAAAATTTTTAGTTGGAGAGTAGACAACTGTTTCTGGCTTATGGAACAGTCAACAAATACTTCTCCTTTCTTTCTTCTTTCTTCCTCCTATTCTCCATAAAACCATAAATTATTGTTTGAATCCTCCAAACATAGACAGCCATCACAAGGTTCATATGATTGCTTGATATTACCAAGTATTACAAGCAAGTTAATATGAAAGCTTGAAGCAAAAAAGGCAGGTGCCTGAAAGGAATTACAGAACATGGGGCATGAACTTTAATAAAGACTAATAAATGATAGATTTATGTAGATTGCTGCTTTTAGTCACTTTTAGTCTTCCGAAGAAACTTACGAGGAATGTAATCATTGTGGATGCTGCCATGGGAACTTATTTACAGTGTCACAGTTTTAAAATAACTGCTGAATCTGATGTTCCAACTGACCACAGAAAGGGCAGTCCAGCTCGGCAAATCACACAGGCCGCCTCTGGGATCTCATGTTTTGGACACCACTTCTCGATTTTATACTGTCCAGTCATCCCAATCCACAGACTCTCTTCTACGCTATTGCTCTAGTTAGAATGTATTCTAACATAGAATAATTCTACGCTAACTGCTCTAGTTAGAAGCTGATCATCTCTCAGCCAAGACTCTTTCAGACTCCTTTCTTTCCCTTTAATCTTTCTAACCTATCACCAAAGGGATTGTGGTTTTTAATTTTTGTCATATTGTGACAGCCAGAATAGGCACATAGTAATCTTTAATTTTTCTTAGTTATGCTTGTTGAATGATTAGTATAAGCCAGGCACCGTGCTAAACCCCTTAACACACATTATTCCATGTAATTGTCACCATAATTCTGAATTAAGTGCCCTTATTCACACATAGCAAACATCAGAGCCAGAATCTCAAACAAATTCTGTGCTGTTTTGAAAGCAAGTAGCCTGTTGGTAAATATTTGATGAAGACCCAATGTCTTTACTGTGTGCTCACTAGTGTCCTAACTACTCCTGATTAATAAAACGAGGGAAGAGGAAGGGATTTTCCAGGTAATATCCAACCCCGAGTTTACTTTTCATCTAAAATCTTTATAAAGAATCAAAGGAACAATTTTGTAGATTGTAGAGTAGTTTAAAAAATAGAAAGAAAATATATCCTAAACACTGGTTAAAGGCAATAATTTTAATAGGCATACCATCAGAACAGTCAATGTGAGAACACAGACAGTAAAACACTGCCTTCATGCTTCCCCACACTCTCAACAGAGCAGGCCATCATATCAGTCATCGTCAATGTTGAATTTATTTTGCACAACACTTTGCATAAATCGATGACTCGTAGTGGTCAAGCTGTGTCCGAATCCAAGCAGAAGCATGGAGGTCATCAGAGATTGTATGTTCTCTGAGAGCAGCGACTGTGCTGTACACACAGTGCGATTCCCATGATCCTCACAGTGGAATTGGCCAGTGGGCTTCTGTGGGCTACTAGTGCCACATAATATTTACAAGTATTTAGAGGATTAGAAAAATGACTTGGTGTCTAAAGAAGTCTCAGAAACAATGGGTGTATCAATTGGAGCAGAAGTCCTCACACATTTGCACTGTTATGCCTGTTGTATGTTGTATCCTGTGTACAAGCACTGCTATAAGAGGGTGAAGAGATCTGAGGCACCTTCGTCCTTCGGGTGCCTGAGCAGGGTTGTGAGACTAGAGACAGATATGATCAGCCTCATTTATATAGCCCAGAATGCTGAACAAATTGTTTTACGTGAGTGCCAGGATGTGGAAAAGGCTGGGGAAGCATTGAGTTAGGTTTTTTGGTTATGTGCCCTTATTCACACACAGCAAACACTGTCCCTTGATAAACTGATTTTTTAAAAAGTGAACTCCTAGCTGATAGTTCCAATAAACCTACACAGGGCTGGTGCCATTTTCAAAGGGCATTAGGGTTCTTTTAAAAGGGATAGAGTCCAGTTGGTCATAAGTATCCATATGGGTACTACTTTGATTAAACAAAGTTAAACAGAATTTTAGGATATTGTCTGTAATTGTTTTCTTCTGTTTTGATTTGATTAGGCTTATTTTATTTAATTCTCAGAACTTTTAATCTGCATTATAAGCCATACAAGAAACATATGTGAATTTCCTATATATGATCAAAAACAATAGCTACTTGACCACTGAGAGTTTGTTCACAATTCAATTCTAGGAGCTAATGTGCAATGAAGCACATTTTTGGTAAACTTGCTTCATAATTAAATTTTCTGAAAAGATTTGCTCTTACACATTTCAAATGTGTCTAAATAAAATAAAAATCAGAGAGATGTAAAAGAACTAAGATAATTTTGACAAGCAGTTGTAGATTATCAAGACTTTATTTGGTAGTTAATTCAACTTCACTTTTGTATTAGTTTATTTTTTTAAAAAAATGGGTGAGAAATTGGAGTGAAAATGAAAAGAAATGAAAACTGTAGGTGTTTGCTCTAAGCACCTAATGGTGGGTGCTCAACAAATCAAATGGTTTCCATTCTTTAATTATGCAAATGACTACTGAACTCAGAGTCTGCCTGAAACAACCTACTGCTTTCAACATACATGCAAAATAGTAAGCGAACACTGGTGAGGTGACAACGAATTAACACTGGCTTACGGTCCTCCCTGATTTCCCTACCTGCACCTGCGTGACTATTAGCACTGTTCTCCAAGTCGATCAACTCGGCAGCTGCTTCTGGGATATGCTTACTCCCCAAAATCAGTCCAAAATCTAGTTCTGTGCTCATTCCACCACCAATGACACCTTAAATGTATCCAATTTCTCCTATTCCCAAGTACCAACCTAGTTCCAGTCATCATTATCTGTCCTGCCCTTGTGTGGTGGTTCATTCACTAGTCTCCCATTGCATCTCATCTTCTGTTAAAGTAAGCTCCAGACAGGAGTCAAAAAAAAAAAAAAAAAACAAATAATAGGTTTAAACATTTTTCTTATTGTAAAGCTTTCAATCCTATTCCAATAAGATTTTTAAAAATTAGCGGCCGGGTGCGGTGGCTCAGGGCTGGGCGTGGTGGCTCATGCCTGTAATCCCAGCACTTTGGGAGGCCAAGGCAGGTGGATCACGAGGTCAGGAGTTCGAGACCAGCCTGGCCAAGATGGTGAACATTGTCTCTACTAAAAATACAAAAATTAGCCTGGCATGGTGGTGGCGCCTGTAGTCCCAGCTACTCGGGAGGCTGAGGCAGGAGAATCTCTTGAACCCGGGAGGCAGAGGTTGCAGTGAGTCGAGATCACACCACTGCACTCCAGGCTGGGTGACAGAGCGACACTCCGTCTCAAAAAAAAAAAAAAAAAAATTAGAATCTTGACTTCTTCCCATGACTTGCAATGCCTTCTGTTCTTTGCTGTATCTCTCCAGCCTCCACCTATTGTCCTCTTCCCAGGACCTGTTCCAGGCCTCTCTCCTTGCTTTCGGAGGTTTGCCGGCAACCCTTGTCATTCCTTGGCTCACAGAGGAGTCATGCTCACCTCCGTCATGCTCACGTGGTGCTCTCCTGTGTGCCTTGCTCTGTGTCCAGGTATCCTTTTTTTCAGAAAGATACAAATTATATTGAATTAGGGTCCATCGTAACGACCCCATCTTAACTATTTCTTCTGCAAAGACCCTATTTTTAAATAAGATCCTATTCTTCTGGGGTTAGGGCTTTAACATAGAAATTTTTTCAGGAACACAATTTAACCCATGGCATTTGCTATATGTTTGGCATTTGCTAAAAGGACTTAGGAGAAGCTCATTTAATGCCTGCATCAGCCCCATGACAGGTGTCATTATTCCCACTTTAGAATGGAGAAAATAGAGACTTCCATAAGTTAATTACCCAGAGTTACACAAGTGGCCAATGCCAGATCCAAGAGTCAAACCAGATGTCACTGACTTCAAACCCATGCTCTTAGAATGACATTTTGACACTTCTAAACAAAATATTATTTTGAAGCAGGTTTCATCGTGACATGTCTGAAAGTAGCAACACTTATTCTCAAAAAGTTGTTATTTAAGCTGTAGTACAATAGGGAAACATAAACCAAAATGAGAAAAAAGAGGAGGAGAGACTAAGCCCGGGCTGAAGAGATGGCATGTACATATTTAAAAACAATTTATATGTATTCCTCAAGGTGTTTTCTATGGTTTCTCTGCTGCATAGGGATAAGTAGTAAATGGAAAGTGATGTCCAAATTTGGTTTTCCTAAGTCATAACTCAAAACAAGGCCATCAAACAGAGACGCAGGCTTTCAAATGATCAGGCCGAGTAACTCCTCACCTCAATCCTGCTGGCTCTTCTGTCATGTCATCTTTCAAATCTGGACCTGATAATTTATTCCTCTGGAATCACGTTTCAGATATGGGAATATACATAACTTTACATCTCATTATTAAGGCCTTTCAAGGCTTTAACATCTATTACAACGATGTAATCTTCAAATCTTACAAACATGTATAACTTCGACATGATCATATTATATATGTATGCATACATAGATTTGATTTTGGTGGGTCAGAAGTTTGCTAGCAGTATCTTGATCGCTATTATATTTACTTTTCCAGTATGTTTTACTCATCTTTTAGTTTTTAAGAATCCAAATGGGTAACCTAACTTGAGAATGTTCCCTCAACATCATGGCTTAGAATAAAACAGCCTATGTTAAAAGCTACTAAAAACAGGCTGGACATGGTGACTCATGCCTATAATCCCAGCACTTTGGGAGGCTGAGGTGGGCAAATCACTTGAGGCCAGGAGTTCGAGACCAGCCTGGCCAAGATGGTGAAACCCTGTCTCTATTAAAAATACAAAAATTAACCAGGTGTGGTGGCATGCCCCTGTAGTCCCAGCTATTCAAGAGGTTAGAGGGGGAGAATCTCTTGAACCTGGGAGGCAGAGGTTGCAGTGAGCTGAGATTGCACCACTGCGTTCCAACCTGGGTGACAGAGTGAGACCTTGTCTCAAAAAAGTAAAAAGTAAATAAAAAATAAAAACTTATTTTTTACTGAAGCCAAGAAAACTTAATTACTTGCTCCAAGAAATAGTTGCTCTTCAGAAATAAGACTGAACCCATCAAAATAGCTCACTTATCAAGACTAATGGCTTCAGAAGTAAGACTGAACCCATCAAAACAGCTCACTTATCAAGACTAATGGCTTGCTCTTCACAGCTCACTTCAAGGTCCTCTCTTTGCTATGCCCACTGTCTAAAGCTATTATTTCACTATCTCTGTCCATCCCAGAAATATTTTGAGCCTTTTAAGAATCGCCTTAAATATCACACATCCCAGACCCTGGGATAATGTATTAATAAATATCTTTTCCTGACATCCCTCTTCAGCTAAACAGTACTAATATTATGTCAAAGTAGTGTTCTCTTTTACTTCAGTCAGTGTAAGGAACTTAGCTTTTTTTGTAATAAATTTTTCTGGTTGTATTTGGAAGAGTCGGTGGTCAGCAGTTGAGTATGCAGCATCTGAACATATGTCTACTTCTATTTGTAATAACGATGGTGGTAGCAATAGTAGCTGTGGTAGTAGCAGACGTGGAATTAGAAGCCACTTTGACAATAGCAAGTACTTCACATGCTTTCCTGTTAAATTAGGAGTATGAAACTCATGATTCACACAATTATAAAAATATTGACTCATGTATGTTTTCAGATTCTCAAAATATAATACATTGAAATAATTTTCTTCTGGACTCACAAGAAACTGTTACTATTAAAATACTAAACATGCATGTGGATTCCTTTTTTTTTTTTTTTTTTTTGAGACAGAGTCTCCCTGTGTCTGTCAGGCTGGAGTGGAGTGGTGCGATCTCAGCTCAGTGCAAACTCTGCCTCCTGGGTTCACGCCATTCTCCTGCCTCAGCCTCCCAAGTAGCTGGGACTACAGGCGCCCACCACCACGCCCGGATAATTTTTTGTATTTTTAGTAGAGGCAGGGTTTCACCATTTTAGCTAGGATGGTCTCGAGCTCCTGACCTTGTGATCCGCCCACCTCGGCCTCCCAAAGTGCTGGGACTACAGGCGTGAGCCACTGCACCCGGCCTGCATGTAGATTCTTAAAGTATACAGAGCTTATGTTATTCTTTCAAAATAACATATAATAGTATATAACAATAATAATGTAAGAATAATGTTTACATTATTCTTCTATTTTCTGGGATTTTTAGGGCTGGGTACTGCAGCTCACACCTGTAATCCTAGTACTTTGAAAGGCTGAGGCAGGAGGATTGCATGAGTCCAGGAATTCAAGACCAGCCTGAGCAACATAGTAAGACCTCATGTCTACAAAAAATTAAAAATTAGCCATGTATGGTGTCACATGCCTGTAGTCCCAGCTACTCAGGAGGCTGAGGCAGGAGGATTGCTGGAGCCCAGGAGTTGGAGGCTGCGCTGAGCTATGATTGTGCCACTGCACTTCTGTCTGGCTGACAGAGCGAGACTCTGTCTTAAAAAAAAAGATTTTTAGAGAAAAACATTGATGAGAGAGTGAAATTATGGAAACTCAAAAGAAGAATTAAAGTTCACTTAACTACTATGTCAATTAAACGCTCCATGTTTTAAAGCTCATGCTCGTTATTCCACTCCAGACCGTCCTTTCAATACAACTTTGAAGCAGTAATTTACTACCTGAAATGACTACGGTAGTTTTTATAAAATACTACATTATCTCCTTTGTACCTCTCATTCTATCTTAAAATAAATGTACTGTTTTCAACATTTTTATTACTACTTATTTCATGGTGAGGGCATGTGTTTGTATGTTTGTTTCCTGAAGCTCTCTCTGTGGATAGATATTAAGTGCCATTCACTTTTGTATGTTTCACTGAATGGCGTCTGGACTACAAGGACTATATATAGTCACACATATTTGTTGAATAAATGGATGAATGAATGAATGAGAGTCCTGAAAAACTGAGAGCTTAATTACAAAGTTCATTTGTTACTTAAAAAGCTGTCTTTAAACATTTTACACATAAAACATCTGTTGCAAACACATTTTATTTCATAGTTAAATGTTTTCATATTGGTTTTCTTATAGTGGGCTCCTATATTTCCTTTACCTTTCTCATGCAGTAGCATTTTGTTATACACATTTTCTTGAAAACTAGGCCCAAGCAGGGGGTCAGAAGAAGAATTATGTTCTTTACTACAATAGAAGTGGGAGAAATAATTCCTAGTTCTGTTTTCTGATAGAACCTTCAGGGCAGAGTAAAATTCCTCCCGTTAATTTGTAAACTGAGCATAATAAAGCACACAATTCATGATGGTTCTAAGATTATTTTGCTTGTGAAACAAACATATCAACTCTTGTACATTTCACGTGAACATTACAGCACGGCCCAGGACAGGGTCTACAGCACTAAACAGCTGTCACTAGAGTCAGGAGACACGTCTTGTGACCCTGCAGGAAAATAACCAGCACGTTGCAACTGTGGCCAAACCTGGCCTGAATCTCTGTTGTGCAATTAGTCTGCCCACCAATAGCAGGCCCAAACAGTTTTATTGAGCCTAACCTCAGTAAACCAGTCTTATTGTTAAACTACTCCAGTTACTTGCCCTCTTTTGCTTCCTTCCCTGCAAAGAGCCTGCTCTGGGACTCCCACGACCTCTGAGGCCGGTGAAGCACTTCCTTGCTTAGTGGTCCATAATCATACACACTTGCGTTTCTACGTCTCCTGGGTTCAGTAAGGAGACCAGAACTTTTCTTAACCTTTAACTAGTACTTATACATTTGCCTTGCCAAGGTCTGCTTGTAGAATCCTTGAGCGACCTGGTGGTCTTGCAACCTTGGAGCCAGCTTCCTGTAGGAGTAAACACCTTGTGTAAGAAATGGATACAACTAGGCCACCCTATGTCATTAGTGCACTCATGGTGCCCAAGTGAAAGATTTAAGGCAATTGACAAAATGCTTCAGTGGCACCTTAGTGTCCTAGAAGCACGGATAAGCCCAGCCTCTTTATGTCTCTTAATGCACTCTGGAACATTTCATCCCTCTCCTGCTTCTCACAACAATCTCACAAGACTCAAGAGATAGATTAGTATTTCAGAAATGAGGACACTGAGGCCTTTTCCCCATTTGTAGCCTTACAGACAGTGTGCCTTTGGTTTATGTTTTAGAACATTTTTATGATTATAAAATTATTGTGCAATCATTGTAAAACACTAAAAAAAGAGTAAAGATTAGAATAAAATAAAATTCTCCTTAGCCCAACAAAAGATAACGAGTTAACACTTTCATATTTGAATAGATTTATACATTTATACATTTTTTCTTATGAACTTGCAGTTACATATTTTATTCACTTAATGTACCTTGAGCAATTTCTGGAATTTCTGAAATTCAAACCCAATTTTGAGAACCTGATGAAATAGTTAATGATGTAACACACCCCTGCCTAATTCAAGCAATCTACTTCTAACTAACTGGCTGCAGTCATATTCTGTAAAGGACTCTTTGCTTAACTATGATTGTTTCTTCATAACACATTTCAGGAAGTAGAGTTAATGGGTTAAAAGCTTGTACATGTTTAAGAGTCTTGATGTTAACTGCCATATTGCCCTTGGAGTGACTGGAAAAATTACACTCCCAATCCAACCATATGAAAATGCCTGTCAACTCCCATGTTGCCAACCCTGGATGATTTCATTGTTTTGAATCTTTACCAATTTGGGATATAAAAATGACAGTAAATTATTTAAACTTGTACATTTTTGATGATCTGTGAGACTGATTTCACTAAATGGTCTATATATGTTTGGGTGTGTTTCTAAACTTTCTGCTGTTTCACACATTTTATGTTAATTCTTACATCATAAATATTTATAATTATCATAATTTAAAAATATAATATAGAATATTTGTCTTCATTCTATTTACTCAACATTTTCTGTATTATTCTATTCCACTTGTTGTTTCACGTGAATTTGGAATTGTTTTATAATATTAAAGAAAAGTCATTGGAATTTTTAAGCCATTAAACATGTTTACAATTTGGGGGAATTAACAGCTATATATTTTGTACTTGTAAACTTAGGAAGGCAAATTAATTCTACAATTACTCTAATATTCTTAGGAAGACAAATTAATTCCACAGTTACTCTAATATTTTTATTATTAATCCCATAGTAAAGTAAAATTTTAAAATTTTATTTTGTAACTTTTTCCTGTTCCTTATGATTATACTTAAGTGCACCTTAAGTTCATCCAGTCTGTAGTTTTAGATACTAGTTACAGTTTAAAATGTTTGAATTTGTATCTTAGGACTCAACCTTTCTGCTGAATTGCTGATTCATATTCCTTGGTTTACCTAATGTTACTACTTGGACATCAAATGTTCATCTAAATTTAAAACAAGACGAAAACCTGATTCTCTTTTCTGCACAAATAATGTCATTTCTTTAGGAAGTCTTCCTTGGCCAACCTAGTATACTCCTTCCACTCCACCCAACCCATTGCTACTGACTTTTACTGAGTTATTTGGCCTTGATTTTCTTCATAGTAACTCCATTACCCAACACATGTAATTTATATATCTATTAACTGTCTCCTCTGTACACATCCTTGAATACATACTACTTAAGGGTAGGAACTTTTGCCTTCACATTTATTGCTACAGATCTTATAACGGTGCTTCCAAGGCAGTTGTTACTATATATGTATATATATATAATCAATGGTTAAAAAATTAGTAACCCTATTTATCTTCCCATTATTTCTAAACAATTATTTTCCTGACTTTTAAATTTGAACTCTTATGTCAATTTAAAATTTTAATGTCTACTCTTTCTTAATTTTTAATATTTCACTTTATTGTCACTTCTTCTTTAAGGCTGTCTTCTCTGATCCCGAGCCCCTTACTCAAGAAGAGTCAGCCCTCATTTTCTTGCATCCCCATTAGATTCTATTTCTATTTGTATCACATAAGTTTGTGCATGACTGTATTCCTTTTTAAATAAATGAGTTGTTTTCATACATATATGTATGTACCAATGAATAAATAAAAGACATCGTATTAGTTAGGGTTCTCTAGAGGAAAAGAACTAATAGGATACATATATCATATTGGTTCTATATAAACATATATATATATATATGACTTTATTAAGTATTAACTTACATGATCACAAGGTCCCACAATATGCAATAGGCTGTCTGCAAGCTGAGGAGCAAGGAGAGCCAGTCCAAGTCCCAAAACTGAAGAACTTAGAGTCCGATGTTCTAGGGCAGGAAGCATCCACCACGGGAGAAAGGGAGAAAGATGTGGGAGGCTGGGGGGCCAGGCCAGTCTCACTTTTTCACATTTTTCTGCCTGCTTTATATTTGCAGGCCCCCGATTAGATGGTGCCCACCAGATTAAAGGTGGGTCTGTCTTCCCCAGATCATTGACTCAGATATTAGTCTCCTTTGGCAACACCCTCACAGACACACCCAGGATCAATACTTTGCATCCTTCAATCCAATCAAGTTGACACTCGGTATTAACCATCATAGACATAAATTAGAAAAGAGAAAAAAATAAAGGAATTGATTATGGTTGATAATAAAATCAATAAAACATTTGAAATATTTAATCTGGGAGAAAAAGAAAAGCACAAACATCCAACATCAAATAAAAAAACTGTAAAAAGATTGGCTACCAGTTTAAGAGAAAGGCATTTATTCATTTACTCAGTGAATATTTACCAAATATACACTATATATTCAGCGCCCTTCCCTGAAATCCAAACTCAAAAATATAAATAAAGAGTATATTCCCTTTAACTCTTTTTTTAGATTTAAGTTTTATTTTTTAAAAACCTACATATTATTTGTCCATTTGTATGGCATACATGTGGTATTTTGCTATATGCATAGAATGTGTAATGATCACATCAGGGTATTTAGGGTGTATATCACCTTGAATATTTATCACTTCTATGTGTCAGGAACATTTCAAATCCTCTTTTCTAGCTATTTTCAAATATACAGTACATTGCTGTTATTGATAATCATTCTACTATGCTATCAAACATTGGAACTTATTTCTTCTATTCAACTGTATGTTTATACCCATTAATCAAGCACTCTTCATCTCCCTTCCCCCAGAACAACCCTTCCCAGCCTCTGGTAACTATAGTTCCATTCCCTACTTCCATGAGATCAACTTTTTAAGCTCCCACATATGCGTGAGAAAATGCAATATTTGTCTTTCTGTGCCTAGCTTATTTCACTTCACGTAATGTCCTCTAGTTCCATCCATGTTGTTGCAAATGACAGAATTTCATTCTTTTTTATGACCAGGTAGTATTCCATTGTGTATGTATATAGCATATTTCCTCATCCATTCATCTGTTGATGGACACTTCTGTTGATTCCATATCTTTGCTATTGTGAATAGTGCTTCAATAAACATGAGGCTGCAGGTGTTCCTTTGATATAATTTCCTTTTCTTTGGATAAATACCCAGTAGTAGAAGTGCTGGATCATATAGTAGTTCTATTTTTAGATTTTTGAGAAATCTCTATCCTGTTTTCCATAGTGGCTATACTAGTTTACATTCCCACCAACAGCATATAAGGGTTTTGTCTGCATCCTTGCAAGCATCTGGTGTTTTTTTGTTTATTGATACATAATAGATGCTCATAGTCTCAGGATACATTTAGTAATTTAATGCGTTCATATAATTTGTAAAACTCAAATCAGTGTAATCAGGATATCTATCATCTTAAATATTTGTCTTTTCTTTAGGCTAGAAACATTGAAATTATTCTCTTCTAGCTATTTTTTTTTTTTTTTTTTTTGAGACGGAGTCTCACTCTGTCACTCAGGCTGGAGTGCAGTGGTGCAATCTCGGCTCACTACAAGCCTCCTGGGTTCTTGCCATTCTCCTGGCTCAGCCTCCCGAGTAGCTGGGGCTACTGGCGCCCGCCACCATGCCCGGCTAATTTTTTATATTTTTAGTAGAGATGGGGTTTCACCGTGTTAGCCAGGATGGTCTCGATCTCCTGTCCTCGTAATCTGCCCACCTCGGCCTCCCAAAGTGCTGGGATTACAGGTGTGAACCACCGCGCCCGGCCTCTTCTAGCTATTCTGAAATACACAATAGATTATTGTAAACTATGGCCTACTGATCTACCGAACTCTAGGTCTTATCTCGTCTACCAAACTTTATATTTTTACCTGTTAATCATCCTCTTTTGACCCTCCCTCTATACTTCTATTCTTGGCCTCTCATAACAGCCAATCTACAGTCTACACTCTATGAGACCCATTTCTTTAGCTTCCACATACAGGTGAGAACATGTGATATCTGTCTTTCTGTGCTTGGCTTATTTCACTTAAAATAGTGACCGCCAGTTTCATCCATGTTGTTGCAAATAGAGGATTTTATTTTTTAATGGCTGAGTAGTATTCCAGTGCTCACATACACACCACATTTTCTTTATCCATTCATCCACTGAAAAACACTTAGGTTTATTCCACATCTTGGCTATTGTTAAAAGTGCTGGAATAAATAGGGGAGTGCAGATACAGATACAGCTTCAATATATTGGTTTGCTTTCTTTTGGGTATATATACTCAGTGGTGGGATTGTTGAATTATATGTTAGGTCTATTTTTAGTTTGTTGGAAAAAAAAAACCTATTTACAATTTTCCACAGTGGCTACATTACAGTCCCAGCAACACTGTATGACAGTTCCCCTTTCTCCACATCCTCATCAGCATGTTATTGCCTGTCTTCTTGATTTAAGTCATTTTAACTGGGGTGTGATGATATACCTATGGTTTTGATTTGCATTTCTCTGATAATTAGTGATGTTGAATGTTTTTTCATTTACTTGGCCATTTGTATGTCTTTTTTAAAGGAAGATCTATTCAGGCCTTTTGTCCATTTTTTAAAAATCAGATTATTTAATTTTTTCTACTGAGTTGTTTGAGCTCCTTATATATTCTGGTCATTAATTCCTTGTAAGATGTGTAGTTTCCAAATATTTTCTTTCATTCTGTGGGTTGTAACTTCACTTTGTTGATTGTTCACTTTACTGTGCTGAAGCTTTTTAAATTGATGTGACGTCATTTCTCTATTTTTGCTTTGGTTGCCTATGCTTTTGAGGTCTTACACAAAAACTATTTTCCCAGACCAATGTCCTGGAACATTTCCCCATGCTTTCTGCTGGTAGTTTCATGTTTCAGATTTAAGTCTTTAATCTACTTTCATTTGATTTTTGTGCATGGTGAGAGAGGATCTAGTTTCGTGTTCTGAATATGGGTGTCCAGTTTTCCCACAACATTTATTGAAGAGGCTGCCCTTTCCTCTATTCTATGTGTTTGGTGCCTTTGTCAAAAATAAGTTGGCTGTAAATGTGTGGATTTATATCTGGGTCCTCTATTCTATTCCACTGGTCTATGCATCTGTTGTTATGTTTGTACCATGCTGATTTAGTTACTATAGCTTTGTAGCATATTTTGAAGTCAGGCAATGTAGTGCCTTCAGCTTTGTTCTTTTTGCTCAGGATTGCTTTGGCTCTTCAGGGTCTTTTGTGGTTCCACATAAATTTTAGGATTTAAAAAATATCTGTCTGTGAAGAATGTCATTGGTAATTTGATAGGGATTGTATTGATTCTATAAGTTGCTTTGGGTAGTATTATATTAACAATATTAATTCTTCAAATCCATGAGCATAAAACATTTTCAATTTTTTTTTGTTTTTCCAATTTCTTTCATCAGTGTTTTACACTTTCCTTGTGTAAATCTTTTACTTTGGTTAAATTGACTCCTGGTGATTTGTAGTGATTAGAAATGGGATTGCTTCCTTGATTTCTTTTAGATAGTTCCCTGTTGGCATACATAAATGCTACTCATTATTGTTATGTTGAATTTGTATCCTGCAACTTTGTGAATTTTTGCATTTGTCGTAATCATTTTTTTTTTTTTGGTGAAGTCTTTAGATTTTTCTAAATGTAAAGCCATGTCAATTATGAACAAGGCTAATTTGACTTCTTCCTTTCCAATCTGAATGCCATTTATTTCTTTCTCTTTCCTAATTGCTGTGTCCAGGACTTCCAGTAGTATGCTGAATAAAAGTGGTGAAAATGGGCCTCCTTGTTTAGTTCCAAATCTTAAAGGAAAGGCTTTCAGTTTTTCCTTATTCAGTATGATGTTCACTGTGGCTTTGTCATACAAGGCCTTTATTATTTTGAGGTATGCTTCTTCTATATGCAGTTTGTTGAAGGTTTTTATCATAAAGGGATGTTAAATTTTATTGTTTTTTCAGCATATACTGAAATGATCATATAGTGTTTTTTCTTGGCCTTGTTAATGTGATCTATAATGTTTATTGATTTGCATATGTTGAGCCACACTTGCATCCCTGGGATGAAACTCACTTGGTCATGGTGAATGATCTTTCAAATGTGTTGTTGAATTTGGTTTGCTGGTATTTTGTTGAGGATTTTTGCATCTATGTTCATAAGAGATATTGTCCTGTAGTTTTCTTTTTTTGTTATTTCCTTGTCTGGTTTTGGTATTGGATAATGCTGGCCTTATAGAAAGAATGAGTTAGAAAAAAAATTCGGATGCCAGCTTAAGATGAAAGCATTTATTCTTTTATCTAGTGAGTATTTACTAAAATATATATTAGATTCCCAGTAATCAACTGCATTTGAACTTTAAGAATATAAATTACAAACAAGAGTTTATTTGCTTTAACTCTTTAATAAGTAGAAAGAAAATATTTTGGACAAGAGTTGTATTTTACTCAATTTCATGATCCTAGGACTTAACCTAATTACTCACATGTAGAAAAATCCTGAATACAACACAGTATTGGTTCAAAGACCAGTGATTTGCCCTACTGACTTGGAAATAATATGTTAAAATAATATAAGCATGTCTATAACAAATTTACTATTACTAACACAGCATGATGGTTATCATGAGCTGGGATTTGTTGTAATTTCATGGTGAGTAAATAGACTTTTGGATTTTCTTTAAGATTCTTAATTTTGAAACATATTTTAAAAATACTGCTATATTCTATGTAATGTCTTTTACACAGGTCAGAGCAAATGGCTATAAATTAGATAAATGCTTTACGGCAGTCCCTCAGGGTCTCTTAGAATGAGGTTCTAAATATTTCCTGGCTAGACTGCCTTTGCATTTTACCCAAAGTTTATCTTATATTTAATCTTGTCATTTTTTTCTTCAAATAATGTTAATGTCTCAATATTTTCTGATGTATGTTTAAAGATCTGTTTATAATTTTTTAATTAATAGAAACCTTATCCAGAATGTTCAACATCGACAGTTTGACCCAGTTCAGCTTATAATACAGAAGTTATATAGTAGATCTTAGAAAACATTTTCAACCATTTTTAAAATATGATTTTTGACCTAAATGCAACTGAAACACAAGTCAATAAAAACAGCTATAACTCAGTAAATAAAGGCAGTGGTTACAGATTAAACTACTTATGGACCATTGAAGCTAGCTCATCCAGTTATGATGAAATATTGATTCCTTAGTGTTGTGGCAAATAGAAGCTAGAATATGTATTGTCTAGGTGTTAAAACTATTTTTAGTTTATCTATCTTTAGGACTAAGTCAATTGAAAAGTTATGAGCCCCAACCAGTTTAAGTCACTTTTTCTATAGAAGTATAGGAGGGAGGCTGGGCATGGTGGCTCACACCTGTAATCCCAGCACTTTGGGAGGCCGAGGTGTGTGGATCACTTGAGGTCAGGAGTTCAAAACCAGCCCACATGGTGAAACCCTGTCTCTACTAAAAATGCAAAATAGCCGGGTGTGGTGGCATGTGCCTGTAATCCCAGCTACTCGGGAGGCTGAGGCAGGAGAACTGCTTGAAACCGGGAGGTAGAGGTTGCAGTGAGCTGAGGTCGTGCCACTGCACTCCAGCCTGGCAACAAAGCAAGACTCCGTCACAAAAAAAAAAAAAAAAAAAAAAAAAAAAAAAAGAAGTATAGGAGGGAGTTCTTTTTGGCACCACCAGGCATGAAGCTAAACTAGTAAAATTCTAACATATGTCACTTTGTTGTTAGAAAGCTTTTATATAACAAAATAACTTGTAGTTATAAAATACTGCTTTTAGAACAAAAATGTGGATAACTCATTATCAAACTACTCCTATTTTTTTCCTTTGTAAACATGATTTTTAGGTATTTCTGTAATGATATTTTCCTGCCTCGGTTCCTAGCACCATAATTTCCCTTTTCCCCCATGTTTTTATGTCATCACAAGCTCCATATCTTTTTCTGCCAAATTTATTACCTCCTATATTCCATCTATACCGAAAAAAAAAACACGCTCAAGGGAAGATTATTTTCCCTTCTTGGTTTTGCTCTTTTCCAGAATGGATTTTTCATCTTTATTTGACCATACTTTTTCCTTTCTTTATTTCATTCCTTATGGAATTTTTGTCTGCTTCTCACTTCACTTCATTTCTTAAATGTTTAACGTGGAGAGCTCTTTTATTTTGTAACATAATGTGAATAAAGCTTCCTTTATTTCATATATTTTACTTCTATTTTTTCTATCTGATCTGATAATTATATTTCTTTTTCTTATTTTGATATACACAGTGTGTTCTTTTCACTTAAGAATATATATCTAGAGGGTTCAAGTGTCCAAGGTGAAGAGCACACCAGGGATCCCCAGGTCTGATTTGATTGCTTCTGGTTATTGTCATTGTCATGGACTAGGAGCATGGCAGGCAGTCCCCCAGAGTTAGGAGACACATGGTCTATACTGGGTTACTTTGATTCTTGGTCTTTTTGTCTTTTACTTCTTTGGCCACACTTTCAATTTTTTATGAGATTGGACTGTTTATTTTATTTATTATTGGCATTTTTCTTATTTATAAAAAATGAATTTAGCCCAAATTTATTATATTTTAGGGAAGGAGGGATTTTTATTTGACTTAACTTCACTGTCTTAACCAGTAAGTCTCTCTTATTTCTGTTGAAAAGCCATTAAATATGTGTAAAAATAATTTAGCAAGAGCAATTAATTGGTCTGGTGAGAGGAATATTGTGCTGTGCAATGAGGTGGAAAAGATAGCCATCATCTTATTTTTTATTTTATTTTTTAAAACTGGTTCTTGGCTCTGTCACCCAGGCTGGAATGCAATGGCACTATCACCGCTGACTGCAGCCTCAAATTCCTGGGCTCAGGTGATCCTCCTATCTCAGCCTCTGGGTAGCTGTAATTACAGGTGTGCACCATGCCCAGATAATTTTTTTTTTTTTTGTAGAGACGTAATCTTACTATGTTACCCCGGCTGGTCTCAAACTCCTGTGCTCAAGCAATTATCTTGCTTCAGCCTCCGAAAGTGCTCGGATTACAAGTGTGAGGCACTGTGCCCAGCCCACCATATTATGTCTACATTTATCTGCTCTCTACTGATAGTTCTTCAGCCCATGACATATATGTCTTTGAAGTAGTATTGTTTGAACACTGGCATAAGAATGAACATTAATGTCTTTTAAATTAAATAGAAGCTTAAAAGTGGTTATCAATTGAGGACATATCTCCAAAAAATATGAAAATCAAAGGATTAGAATCTTTAATATATGACGAGTACATTCCAGTGGATGAAATAACATCAAAGGCGATGGACAGACAATTTGGGAATGAGGGAAAAGTGAAAGCCTCCGAGTAACAAGGAGGGGTACTGGGCAGGTTCAGACTCACTCAACATCCAAAAAAGGTATGATATTCATCTAGTCAACTAGCAAAATAATACAATCATAAAAACATAAAAATCAAAATGAAAAAGTCGAAATAATAAAATTTTCAACCTAAGAAATTTAAACCGAAATTGATATTCCCAGCCACTGCAAGGCAGAGTGGGAAAATTTTCCATTTTGGCGAAATCTATTTGGTAAAATCTGCCACTACCACCTGCTGGGCACCAAGGAAGGTCAGAAAAGAAGACACACACTTCCCAGAGACACTTCTGGGAAGACAGAAAACAAGGTGATTGTTAAAATGGGGGACATTTACTGCAGGTTAGAGGGATGTAATCTAGCCTTAAAAAAAGAAGTTCAGATACTTTCACATAGCAATTATACTCATAGGGATTTATTAATGGTAAACCTGCAAACAAAGTTTTATGCATTAAGGGCTTTTATTGCACAAATGTGTTAATTATTCACAGAGTCAAAAATTATGAACAGATGAAACATTCAACATTTGGAATAACTGCAAACTATGCTGCAGTACAAGTCTACAGAACAGTAAGATATAACCATTAGAAACAATATATATGAAAAAGCAGCAAAATGGAGTAATCCACATGCTAGAAGGTAAATAATAACAAAATTTCAAGCATAAGGTTAGCTAATCACTTAAAATATTCATAAACTGAACAAAATAACTGAACTAATATGAAGAGTGGTGAAATAATGTTTTTATATATTTGCATGTATAAGATTCTTTTTTACAACAAAATTCAAATAAAATTTAAAATATAAATACAATTATAGGCAACTACTTCTTTTTATATTTATGATTTAGTTAAATTTTCCTATTTTTAAAAATAGAAACATTTGAGACGATGCCTAATTTAAAAGATACAAGCCAGTGTAAAGAAACCTCCCTTCCCTACAGCATCCAGCCACTTCGTTGTTTTTGCTTTGGAGAGAAACACACTCCCCTGCTTCATCAGTTGCTTGTGTAACCTTTGAGAGATAATTTTTGCATATTTAAGCATATATCTGTAATATATGCTAATATTATGTACATATTGGTTAGATATTTGAGCCTGCAGATCTCTTGTAAGAGGACTCAGTGAAGTGCCAAGAGGGATAGACGTGGACTGAGAATACGGAGTTGTTTTAGTTCTACCACTTAGGACAGTCATCAGAATTGCAGGTTCCTTCAGGTTTCAGATTCCTTCCGTGCAGATGAGGGTACTAGCCTCTTACCTGCTAGTCTCACAGTACTGATAGATCAAATGAGATGTGGACAGTGGTTCAGAGAAGGTGCTCTGGAGCTGTCCTGCTTGGATTTGCTGCCCTCTACACATTTCCATATGCTGAATAGTTAATGAGAATTAATGTTGTTTAATTTCCAAATGTTGAAGGATTTTTTTCTGTCATGCTGAAAAAATCCTATATTGACCTTTTTTGTCCCCCCAGCACTGGGAACATGTTGCTCCGTCTTTTTCTGGCTTAATTTTTTTCTGATGAAGCAACTACTATTATTTAAAAATCTTTCTTCCTTTTCATCTATGATTTCAAGATTTTGTCTTTATATCTGTATTCCCAGCAATTTTTTACATAATCTTTGATGTGGTTTTACTTGTGTTTATACTCAATGACATTCCATGGACTTCTTGGACCTGTAGCTTTATACCATTATCAAATGTGTAAATATTTCTATATATCTTAAATATTTTTTCTAATTTGTATATTCTTCTATGCTAATTCTCAAGTATTTTTATCTCTTTCTGGAACTTCAGTTATCGTAAGTTGCTAATATTAAACTACAGGTCATTTAGGTTTTGCACATTTTTGTTCAGTATTTTTGTCTCTCTGTGCCTTATTTTGCACTGTTTGTATTAATATATCAACGTGTCAAGATCTTCTTTTTTCCTGCAATATCTATTTGGTATTCATTTTATGTAAACTTTTTATTTCAGCTATTATATTTTTCATCCCAGCAGATCTCATGATTTTTTTAATAACTCCTTTTAATCTTTTCATTTGTTCATGTTTTCCTTTAAGTCTTTAAAAATGAGTTTTAGAAAAATTCTTGTTTACTAATTCCTCATCTTGTCATTTCCAGATTTGTTTCTGTTAAATATTTTTGAAAAGGTAGCCATATTGTCCTGTTTCCCTGGATGACTGATAATTATTGACCGGATGCTAGACATTATGGAATTTACATTGTTGAGTGGTTGTTGAGTTTTTAAAAAAGAGTTTTGGATAAGTTATAAAGATGTAAGTTACTTGCAGTTACCTAGGCTGTTTTTTCATTTTGTTTTGTAATGTTTTGTTTTTAATTGAAGACTAAGTCTGGAATAGTCTCTAGAACTAAGTCAGCTCCACAGCTAAAACGTGATGTGTCTAGGGTCTCCACGTCAGCCAGAGACTTTCAGCAGGGCACCTTTCCAGCAGGTGAGAAATGGAATGATTCCCATTCCTAATGTGAGTCTTCCCAATGGTTCATCTTGAGCTTCTAGGTAATTGTACTTTTCTTGCAGTAACTTTTTATTTTTTTCAAATTTCGTTGGATTTTATCCCAAGCCTGTGCAGATTGATATTCAGGTAACCAATCAAAGACTTGAGAAGACCCCCATAGAGTGATCTAGGAGTCTTTCTGTATTTAGCTTCCTTCCTTTTGTTTTCTGGTCCTAGGCCCCATACATTTTAGCCTTGGACCCCTGAGCCTTGGACCCCTGCCTCTGTAATTTAGCAAATCTGCTGGACTGTTCTTGAACTGACCCTCCCCATGCTGCAATCTGGAAATAGTGTCCAGGCAAAAAAGCTTGCTTGATGGTTGAGACCACCTTGCTTGCTTTCCTTCAATTAGTCAGTAGCCTTGTGTTGCTCATTGTCCATGTCTAAAAACTGTTGTTTTATAGATTTTATCCCGTTCTATTGTTATTATTCTTTTTCCTAATAAGAGAGAAAATTTTCCAGCAATTGCTTCTTCAAGGGCAACTCCTGTTGCCTGAATTTAAACCCTGACTTCGCCATTTAGGAAGTGCATGGCCTGGGACAAAGTATTTAACTTCTCGCCTCCATTTCCTCATCTATAAAAGGGGATACATAATAGTACTTAACCTGACAAGATCATTGTGATGTTTAAATGAGATAATATATGCAAATAGCTTATAAAATGTCTTACATATTGCAAGCTCTGTGGGACACAATAATTGAAGCTTCAATGGTGAACAAATACAGACACTGTCAAAACCAACATGGAACACAGAGGCTGGGGAGATAGCGACATTAATTACATAGTTGTACAAAAAACTGCCTATGTGGACAGTGCTATAGAGAAGTACCTTGTGCTATTAGCAATCATTTTTTAAAAAGAGTCCCTAACGAATTGGTACTTGAGGTGAAATTCCTGACAAATTGACATTTGAGGTAAAATTTGATATAACAAATTACCTTGATTCTCCCATTCTTTAAAACGGGTTACTATAAATCACATTGTCTGTATTGGATTTCAGTGGGCTATTCCCTATGGTTTGAGAATTACTTTCAGTTTAATAAAATAGAAAATATAAAGTTTTCTTCTTAAAATGTATGTTTCCTCAACACACTTGGATTATATGAACGGTAAAATATCTACATTCCAACAGTATTCAATGCTTCAGTTTTTTTTTTCTCTCTGTTTTTTGGTCTAAAAAAGTCAACCTGGCAGTTATATTGTGTACTTTCAATCCTATGGACATTGACATTACTATAGAAAGCTCTTAAGGTCCCTTGGAAAAAATAATTTTCTTCCAAATTGAAGGATATTTTCACACTGGTGGTTTATAACATGATCGTTCTCTGTAAAAGTCTATGTGCACTGCCTCGGACTTACAAAATGCTGCTAATGGTCGGCGTTTGTTTCTGACAATGTAAAAATGGAGTTGGTGATCATTTTTACTATTCAACTTTGTTTTGAAAACTTTTCTACTTTTATGTACATTAAGCCACTCAATTTTCACCAGTACAAACAATGTTACAATATGTGTTCTCTTGACCATATTTAGAGTTCCTTTAAGGAAAACTCTGGAAATAGAATTGTTAGATTACTACTGAATTGTAGGATATAAACATTTTTACTTTAACACAAATGTCTTGATTGCTCTCCAAAGGTTTTGTGTCAATTTACACTTCCACGAACAGTTTGCGATTTCTTTTTTCTCCATACACTTGGTGTCACTTGTTATTGTCAATGTTTGCCAACCTACTGGTTATGAAGTCATACGTCATTTTAGATTGACATTTCTGTTGATTGTCTGGATACTAATATTTGCTATTTGTAAAAGAGGCAAATATGTTCTACCAAAGAAAGCCCTTCTTCTTTTCATTTGTGAAAATGAAACATACTGACTTTTACTTATAATTTTTGCTTTCAGAGTCCTTTTAAAGATACTCATTTCTACCCAGGATCACAAAAGTATTCTCCAATATTTTTTTCTAAAATGTTTGTAATGTCACATCTCACATTTCCTTCTTTAATCTACATGGAATTGGTTTTACACTATGGTGCGGTAAGAATCTGATTTTATTTTTCACTGCATGACTAAGTATGACAAAGTAATTGCTTGCCCAATCTCAGTGCCATCGCTATTGCATCACGTAACCATAAACGCTCCCTTTCTGTTCCATCGATAATTTGTTTATCCTTGTGCAAATACCACACTGAAAAAAATTACTGCTGCATTTTAGTGTCTTACCATCAAGGTAGAAAGAGAAACCTATTAATCCAAAATTGTCTTAATTATGTTTGATCTTCCACTTTCCATTTGATCTTAAGATTATCTTGGAATGTATATGTGTGAATATATATAAAATTGTATATTACATTGGTGAAATTAACATATTTTCCATGTTAGTCTTCATGTTTATGAGTGTGGCAAATCTGTAGACTTTTTCAGCTCTTATTTATAGTCTTCAATGATGCCTAAAATATTTTCCATAAAGACATCATCCATTTGTGTCAGACTTGTTATTTGTAATGACTAATAAGATGCTTTTACCAATATAGCTTCTAATTACATTCTCTAACAGTATATGGAAATGTCACTAATTCTCATATATTAATCTTATATCTATCAGTACATTCTTATAATTTCTAATATTTATCTGATTATTCAATTTGATTATTCTACTGCCAATGTTTGAGTAAAAAATATATAAATATTTGGTCGATTGATTTTTAAGTATAGAAAATTTGATTATTCACATGAAAATATCATAATCAAAAAATGTTGTCTCTCCCTTTCCATTAATTATTATTTTTTCTTTTCCTCATTGTATTACATTGACTAGTAACTATCTAGTAGCTACCTACCTCTTGTAGAATGTTGAATGGAAGACATAATACTCTTTTGCTAAATTAAATAGGAAAGCTTTTAAAGAAATGCCCTTGTTTCCTGGTTAGCTAAGTGTATTTATTATCTTTTGAAATGATCATATGCCTTTTTCTCTCATTTAAAAATTTTAATGTGAAACATTACTTTGATATATTTTTCTGATGTTCAATTTTTCTTATGTTTCTGAAATATAATCTACTTAGTCAGTGAATTCTTTCCTACATTCTTGAGTTATAGATACTAATAGTTTAGCTCTTAAATGAGACTTACTTGTAAATTGTTCTTCAATTGCTTTTCCCCAGTTTTAATACAGAGGCTTAGTCTGATAACACTTTTATTCTTTAACAGTTTTTAAGATATAAAGATTATGGTTTGTTTAAATTGAGGAAAAAAATAAGTTTTTTTAGGGAATAGGAGTTAAATCATTGTTTTAATGAGAGTTGTTTCCTTATTTAGGTTTTCTGTTTTTATAAATCAATTATGGAAATTGATGTTTTCTAGAAAGTGTTATTGTTAACTGAAATTTTAAAGTTTACTGGCATCTGCATTCATAATATTTTCTTATAGTTTAAAGAAATCTATTGTTTGTGGTTTTTGTATTCTGATTCAAATTATTCGTGTCTTTTTTTTTTCCTTAGGCAGTCTTTGTAGAAGTTTGTCTACTTTATAAGCAATTCCAAAGATACAGCGGTACTTCTGTTAATTTTCACCTTTAATCAACAGCATACATTGATGATAGACGCTATGTATGCCAAGATAATTTAATAATGGAGGAGGTAATAAGATGTCTATTTATTCATATTTTATGCCCTCCTTTATAATTAAAGGAAATTATATTTATGTTTATGCATTGGTGAAATTGATTTGTTGTTATAAATTAGGTCTAAAATCAATTCTAGAAGATGAATTATGGTGGCATTCCTATAATAAATGATTGTGTAATTCACAGTGATCACTGTGAAGGAAAGTATTCAGATAGCTTCATTATTTTACCACTACCTAGCATGTATAGACTCAGAATGCAGTACCTGTTGGATAGACTGATTGACTGATGATTGACTAATGCATTTTAGAAACCGAGAGACTGTTATTTAAAAGTGAACCATTAATTTTTAGTCTTCGGATGTGGAATGGCAATTAACATGCTGCAGTGTCCCTGAGGTTTTGAGAAAGAGCCTGACTGCCTCCTACTGATCATCTGATCTACTGATCATAGTTTTCCAGGGAAGAGTAAATATGAAGAGAGTGAGAGTGGGACACAGAGGGCAGAGGAGAAAGAGGAGAGAGCTGTTATCTGTGAGTGAAGGCAGATATCTATGTGCATTATCCAATGTTCCTAGGACTGTGCAGTCAAAATTCATGTGAAAGCATGTTCGAAGGATTCAAAAGGCTCGGTGGCTGGACAGAGTCAGGAAGACTCTAAGGTACAGGTACTGAACGTGACAGATTAAAACACCTGGCACCTGGAGGGGAGGACTGGGGAGGTTCTAACATGAGTTGAAAAAGCTAAGCCCTAAAGGGTTTAATTTAGGAGACCGGTGGCGATGTTGTAGTTGAGCAGTGTAACTAGGAAGGCTTTGGTCCAACAGACCTTCGGACTGGATAAATGCTCCTGGGATGATTTAGCCTAGGCGAGGAAGCAGAAAGATAGAGGTTCAAAGATTTTACTTCCTGCTACTGTGGCAACGTGGGATTTGAGAGTCACTGTCATCCAGTGTCACGTGAATAGGGTGAGACGGTGGCCCTTGCTGGGCCAGCCCCAGCCCCTCTGCCCTCCTGCTGCTGTGAGTTGGCTGGCAATTTACAGCTGCCCCCGTTATCCCGAGGGGACCCTCTGGGCTGCGGGACCCTCTGGTCTGCGGGACACTCTGGACTGGGGGACACTCTGGACTGGGGGACACTCTGGACTGGGGGACCCTCAGGGCTGCGGGACACTCTGGTCTGCGGGACACTCTGGACTGGGGGACACTCTGGGCTGGGGGACCCTCAGGGCTGCGGGACGCTCTGGTCTGCGGGACACTCTGGGCTGGGGGACACTCTGGACTGGGGGACCCTCAGGGTTGCGGGACGCTCTGGTCTGCGGGACCCTCGGGACTGGGGGACACTCTGGACTGGGGGACCCTCAGGGCTGCGGGACGCTCTGGTCTGCGGGACACTCTGGACTGGGGGACACTCTGGACTGGGGGACCCTCAGGGTTGCGGGACGCTCTGGACTGGGGGACCCTCAGGGTTGCGGGACACTCTGGACTGGGGGACACTCTGGGCTGGGGGACCCTCAGGGTTGCGGGACGCTCTGGTCTGCGGGACCCTCGGGACTGGGGGACACTCTGGACTGGGGGACCCTCAGGGCTGCGGGACGCTCTGGACTGGGGGACGCTCTGGGCTGTGGGACCTTCAGGGCTGGGGGACCCTCAGGGCTGCGGGACGCTCTGGACTGCTGACCCCTCACCCACACCCAGCCTTTTCTGCCCCATCCGCCCTCTGTGCATAACCTGGGGGTACAACAGGCTCGCGCTGTGGCTTCAGTTGTGCTTCCGTGTCCCGGGGGCTTCCAACTGGGTCCTGCAGGAGCTGAGACAATCTCCCTGCTTCGCTTTCATCCTCCGGGCGTGTCCTGCTTCTTCCCGAGAGAAGCCTCTAAGATATGACTTGTACAGGAATCATACGCTCTCTCCTCTCTCTGTCTCCCAGGCTGGAGTGCAGGCGCGATCTGGGCTCACTGCAGCCTCCACCCCCTGGCTCAAGCCTCCCACCCCAGCCTCCCAAGTAGCTGGGATTACAGGTGCGTGTCACCCAGCTAATTTCTGTATTTTCTTTTAGAGACAGGGTCTTGCTATGTTGCTCAGGCTGGCCTGGATCTCTGCAGTTCAAGCAATCGGCCAGTCTCCGCCTCCCAAAGTGCTGGGATTACAGGCATGAGCCACCTTACCTGGCTATTTTTTTGTATTTTTTTGCAGAGAACTCCTGGGCTCAAGCAATCCTCCTGCCTCGATCATTTGTTTTTAAATGAGCCTGTATTGCCTGTAATTTTCAAGACGGTATAGAGCTTACAGAAAAAGTATGAAAAGTGCAAGTGTTTTTTTAGATAGCAACTATTGCTTAGCACTCAACATATTTCCTTTATCCGTCTTCCCTTCCCCCTTCCTTTCCTCCTTCCTCCTCCCTCCCTTTCTTCCTTTTTTCAAATTAACCTTTAGGCCAGTTGCTTAGGCCAGTTGCTGATACTTGGCTGTGGTGTTTGCATAGCTAGCTTGCCCTGATGTAACTGTACATGTAATCAGCGTCTGCCACTTTGATGGAAGTTTCCTAGTTTAGAAACACCTGTCTCTGGATTATAATGAAACAACACAGAGGCTAAATAATAAAACCTCAGGGAATCAAGACATGTAAAGCCCAGAATTTTAAATAAATAAGGTTTATGGAACACTAAAAACAAATATATTGGACTTTCCATGGAGAATACTTTATCGTTGGTTATACTGAAGATAAATGTTAACAACACAAATAACATGCAAATACACACTCTTAGTATCCAAACATTGATTTTATTTGGCTTGCAGCATTGATGTTGTAATGCTAGCATTCACTGACATTTAATTTGTGGTATAATATTGTCCCAACTGCTGCCTGCCTTTACACTATATAATATGAACTATTGTCAAAAGTGTCTTTGAGATGCCTTATGGGGCATTTATTAAATTTATTGCATTTATGGAAAATAGAGCCTGGTGAATACAGAACAAATATAACTTATTTTTGTGTTCTTAAGCAAAACAGCTTAGCAGTACTTTCAGAAACTTTCTTACGCTCCTCATTCCACCACAGGTTTCATCTCGAAAGGCTTCTGGCCTTCCTTCCCGATTTCCCCCACAGGCAAGACTCTTCTAAGAGAACTCCTTAAAAATTACTATTATTACTATTATTTTTAATAATTTCAATTTTCAATTTTTCTTTGCTTACAGTAGCCTTAAAATAGCAAATACCATAAGGAGTAAAGATAAAGACTTTGGAAGAAGGAAAGATGCTTTATGTCTCATACCAATCACACTGCGTCTCATACAATTTTTTAAGTGTACTATTTACTAAAATTTAGTTCACTAATTTCAAAACAAATTCCAAAAAATGTTATTTTTAAATAACCAGTGAAGTTCACTATTTCAAGGGAAACATCGCCTAGCAGCCTACCTCTATTTCTTACCCAATTTGTCTTTATACATCTATAGCATAATCTATATATTTATGGATGAGGTCAGCTTAAAGTAAGGTAAATGTATATTCTGATTCAGCAGTTATTGAAATTAAATTCCACTAAACAAAGCACCTTTTTACCTGATGCACACTTTATTATGTATTTAAACATAGGCAAATCATTAAGTTAATTATATTATCTTAAATTTAAATCACTGAACTTATCTGTATTTTGATTTAATTAAATTAATTAATTTAGTTTTTATTTTTTAGAGACAAGATCTCACTCTGTTACCTAGGCTGGAGTGCGGTGGCACAATCATGGCTCACTACAGCCTAGACCAACTGGGCTCAAGTGATCCTTCCACCTCAGCCCTCAAAGTATCTGGGAATACAGGCACATGCCACCAGGCCTGGCTAATTTTTAATTTTTTTATTTTTGGTAGAGATGGGGTCTTGCTTTGTAGCTGAGGCTGGTCTTAAACTTCTAGCCTCAAACAATCTTCCTGCCTGGGCCTCCCAAAGTACTGGGATTACAGGTGTGAGCCACCCTGCTCGACTTGATTTAACTTTAGAGATTAAAGGGAACTTCGAGATTGTCTAGTCTAAAATGTTTTAGAGATAGTTTGCCCCTTACTATTCCATGTAGTAAAGAAAATGATGCCAAATATATGCTACATTGAATATAGAAAAATATTATAAAATAATGTATATACAAGTCATGTAAATGTTATAAGATTATATATATTAAGCAAAAAATTAAAGCTGAATCATGCACTGTAGACATTTAACAAGTTTGACATTAGGAACCTTAAAATGGGTACTTTTTGGTTTTCAAGCATGAGGTGTATCTTTTAAAGATATCTCTGTGTCCAAAGAGAAGAGATGATGACACTATAGACCTATACTAACGTAAGAAATTGTTGAGTTGTTATATTGAGCTTTTACTTTAATTTCTGTATTTTACCATTAGCAAGGTTGAATAATTTTTTGGCTTAAGTTTATATTTCCTTTTTTAAAATTTCCTGTTTGTATCTGTGATGCTTCATTTTATGTGTCAACTGATGAGGCAATGGTACCCAGTTATGAGGGCAAACACCAGTCTAGATGTTGCTGTGAGGGTATTTGTAAGATGAAATTGACATTTAAATACACAGAATTTGAGCAAAGTTGATTACCTTCCATAATGTGGGTGGACTTCAATCTCTTGAAAAGGCCCTTTATAGAAAACCCTGAGGTTTTCCAAAGAAGGGGTGATTCTGCTTCAAAACTGCAACCCTGTCTGAGTTTCCAGCCTGCAAACACCAGATTCAAAGCTGCTTCAGAACTGCAACCCTACCTGAGTTTCCAGCCCGCAAACACCAGATTCAAAGCTGCAGCATCAACTCCTCCCTGAGTCTTCAGCCTGACAGGCTGCTCTACAGATTTCAGATTTGCCAGCCCCTACAATTCTGTGAATCAGTTCCTTAAAATAAACATTTCTCTCTATATTTATGCAAATGGATAAATGATGGATAGCTGTAGATTTCACTACATAGATATAGATATATAGATCAAGGAGATCTCCTATTGGTTCAATAAATCTATTGGTTTTGTTTCTTTGAAGAGCCCTAAACAGTATTTTTGCTTACTTTTTAAAATTAGTATATTCACCTATTTCTTACTGAGAAAATTTACTTAATAAAATGATTAGCCCTTTAAATGTCTCATGATGCTAGTATTTTTCTCATCGTTTGTGGTTTGCTTTTTTGTTTTCCAACAATAGAAGTGTTTACATTTTTAGAAAGCATTTATTTCTTTGAATTTGTTCCTGTACAGCTATTCCCCGTTACAAGATACAGACATATTCCTCTGTATATTTCCTTCTAAGTATTGTTTTATTTGTTACATATAATTTAGTAATCTGTGGAATTTACTTTGATATATGATAGAAGATAAAAATGTATACTTTTACTTACATAGTTTATCAATTGTTTCACCACCATTAAAAAACAACTTACAGATTTGAAACGGTTATTTTAGCTAGGGCTGCCAAATTTAGCTAATAAAAAGAAAGGGTGCCCTGTTAAATTTGTGAAATTTTAAATTCATATAAAAAATTTAATTTAAAATACATTTGTGAATTTTGAATTTTATATTAAAATGAATATTTTTAGTATGTCTCATGAAATATTTGGGGCTTACTTATTCTAAAAAATTATTTGGTGTTTATTAGAAATTCATATTTAGGGCCAGGAGTGGTGGCTCATGACTGTAATCCCAGCACTTTGTGAGGCTGAGGTGGGCGAATCACTTGAGGACAGGAGTTTGAGATAAGCCTGGTCAAGATGGTGAAACCCCATCTCTACTAAAATTTCAAAAATTAGCCAGGAATGGTGACACATGCCTGTAATCTCAGCTACTTGGGAGGCTGAGGCACGAGAATCGCTTGAGTCCAAAAGGTAGAGGTTACAGCTGAGATCACGCCACTGCCCTACAGCCTGGGTGACAGATGGAGACTCCATCTCAAGAAAAAAATCATATTTAGCTGGATGAGCTGGATGGATGTCATGTATTTTAACTGGTAACCTAACTTCAGCCATTATGAATTTTCCCCTGTGCTTTCTATGCATTCTAATGAGCCTTGAATCACAAAATTTGCTGATAATGAAGCAAATATAGAAGGCACTAGAGATAAGAGACCCAATTCTTGCTCATATCATTTCAGCCTCACCTGGAGCATTCAGTCACAGGAGCTGAAAATTTATTACTACTTAAAAGAGGCTAAGATAGTTTCCAATATTTGACAGTAGAAACATTTTAAGTGACATAGAATAGACCATTTTCTTATACCTGCAATCAATGTATATTTTAGCTTATTTTAGAAGATATGGCTGAATTGTTTCAGAAAATAATCACTTTAATATCTCTTGGATATAAATCAAATTTTGGATATATTTAGATTTAAATCAAGCATAGTATTGCCACTGTGAAATCTGAAATAGAAAAAACACAAGATAATGGAGAATTTATCATAACAGTTAACTTTCTGACACTCTGGTTGCTTGCCACCTTAAAACAGGGCAGGATGATATCCACCAAACCTAAAGTCAAGGAGCATCATTTTCAGCATGACTATTTTTCAATATAGCCTGAACCATTTCATTGCACCTCTTCTGCCCTTGGGGACACTTAATATTTTAAAACATAGCAATACGGTCATTGCCACCACAGGGCCCATCTTGTGGGCCAGAGATAGTTCAGGGAAGGTAACTGAGCTGGGAGCTAAAGAAGCCGTTATCCGTGTATCTCCTTCTTTGCCCATCTTCCCCATAATTACAAGGAAAAGTTTGTATTGGATTCACCAACACTACAGGATAAACGGAGCTGTCTTTAACAATATTAGACACAGGTAAAGCCTCAGCAGGAAAATGTGAATTTTTGAAGGTGGTAAAACGAGTTTTCCTTGATAGGAAGTTATAATTTCAATGCAAGGACTAGAATTTTATCAACAGAATTAGCAAGAGGGATTTTAGCATGTTATGGTAACATATAATTTCACTGTGAAAAAATCCCAAATGCTTTCGGTCTTCCAGGTTATTAGAATGCAGTAACAACCAGTATGCAATGCATGCTGCAATATTACCCACAAGGGGGTTGGATATTTCACAGAAACCTGCCATTATTGATCATTATGATAATTATAATTGATAATTTTTAAAAAATGCTTTCATTTTGCTAAGCTACAATTTCTTACCTAATTGGATTTATATCCTTTCTTTCTCAATATTCTGCCCATGATTTGTAATTATCACAATTCATAATTTTAAAATTCTATAGGAGATTGTATTTTCAAAAGCCTCCTGCAAGAATATCTGCCATCTGACATACTCTTTTGTAATGTAACTCGCCACTAACCCGTGGAAAGATGCAGTGTGCGTCTGAACTACCTTGCATCTGTGTGGAGTCTGTGACTGCGATGATGCCGCAGACGTGCTGTCGTGTGACTTCTGAGGATACATCTTAAGGAGTCAAATCCTAGTATCTTCTCTTTTGACTGCTCATCCTAGGGAAACTCTGCTTGGAACATGGTACCCTTGCCATGAGAGGCCCAACCCATGTGGAGAAGTCAACTGTAGGTGCTCTGAGTCCACGGCCCCAGGAGAGTTCTGCAACGTCAGCCAGTGCCAACTGCCCGTGGTGTGAGCGCACCTGCCTGGACTGAGGCAGGCTTTGGATGACTGAGTCTTGGCCAACCTCCATCTGCACCTGCATCTGAAACCTCAAATAAGAACTGCAGCCAACCCAGATAACTATGAGAGATGATAATAAATTGTTCAAGTATAATAAAGTGCGGGATGGTTGGTTAGCCACAACAGATAGCTGAAACAGATGCTTACAGTGGCCTCTAAGACAGTCCGGGAGCATGCATAGTTGACTCACCCTTCCCAGTGTCACCTTCTCTCACTCCCCAGTCCCACTCCCTGAACATCGCGTTGCCCCTGAGGAAGTGGACTGAACAATTTCAGGTAATTTATTGTTTATTGCCTTTTTTCATTTCACGTCCTCTGTCAGTATCATTGGAATAAATGATTTCATTTCTAACTTGCAAATACATAGGGGTCAACTGTACAAGCGCTCCACTGTTTCCTAACTCCCCAATTTCCACCACAACAGTAACACCCAGAGGAAGGCAGGCTTGGTCTCCCTAGGAACAGGATCATGCTGCTCCACTTAGCTGTGTTCCCAGCTTGGATGGGGAAAAAATAAACAAACATAAAACACCCGGGGGTCAGTGGGTGATCCAGAAAATACTTTTCTGACACTGCTCTCTCTGTCTTGAAACTAGAAGACATAGAAATTAACTTTTTCTTCTGTGTATTCTCCCAAGAACGCTTGGCAGCCGTTTTGCTGTGGGAAGAGTAAATGCGGAAAATCTTTTAACAGCACACAAGCTTTAGCGCTTATTGGAAGGTTGCTACCTTAATAGCCTCCCCTTTTCTACTAGAAGTTCTTTCAATGTAGCATGATTGTAAATTAGAAAAGTGAAATGAAAGAATTCATATATCTGTTTTATCATAATATAGGAAAGCTGAACATACAGCAATATCCTCAAGCAAAATGAGAAATAAAAATATATGCTTATCTGAATTATGTATTTGTTAAAATTGAAAGCTTTTTAAATATGTTTTTGTTTTTAATGGAGAATCAATAGTAGCTTGTGTATACTACTCAATAATAACATGGGCAAGATTCATGGGATGATCTTAAGAAGGAATCCAGGATTTGACAGCAATGACTGAACAGACAGGTGACTTCAGGAATATGTGGATTCTTCATGGATATTGAATGAATAATTGATATTTTGAAATAGTAGGGTTACATTAAAATATATTTAATACATTTAATTCTAATTTTACAAAACCACTGGATGCTCTGTAATAATTTACACTCACTTTTGAATAGAGAAAATCCTTTTCAGACTCTCACATTTTTTCTTTCATCCTTTTTTTTTTTTTTTAATTGAGACAGAGAATCGCTCTGTAACCCAGGCTGGAGGGCAGTGGCGCAATCTCAGCTCACTGCAACCTCCATCTCCCGGGTTCAAGTGATTCTCCTGCCTCAGCCTTCCAAGTAGCTGGGACTACAGGCACCCACCACCACACCCGGCTAATTTTTTGTATTTTTAGTAAAGATGGGGTTTCACTATGTTAGTCAGGATGGTCTCGATCTCCTGAACTCGTGATCTGCCCGCCTCGGCCTCCCAAATTGCTGGGATTTCAGGTGTGAGCCACCACACCTGGCTGGTGATTATTAATTTAATGAGTATTGCATTAGTCCATTTTCACGCTGCTGATAAAGACACACCCAAGACTGGCAATTTACAAAAGAAAGAGGTTTAATTGGACTTACAGCTCCACATGGCTGAGGAAGCTTCACAATTGTGGCGGAAGGTGAAGAGGCGCAAGTCATGTCTTACATGGATGGCAGCAGGCAAAAAGAGAGCTGGTACAGGAAAATTCCCCGTTATAAATACCATCAGATCTCATGTGACTTACTCACTATTGTGAGAACAGCACGGGAAAGACCTGCCCCCATGATTCAATTACCTCCCACTGGGTCCCTCCCATGACATGTGGGAATTCAAGATGAGATTTAGGTGGGGACAGAGCCAAACCATATCATTCCAACCCTGGCCCCTCCCAAATCTCATGCTCTCACATTTCAAACCCAATCACGCCTTCCCAACAGTCCCCCAAAGTCTTAACTCATTTCAGCATTAACTCAAAAGTCCACAGTCCAAAGTCTCATCCAAGAAAAGGCAAGTCCCTTCCACCTATGAGCCTGTAAAATCAAAAGCAAGTTAGTTACTTCCTAGAAACATTGGCAGTACAGGCATTGGATAAATACAGCAAATCCAAATGAGAGACATTGGCCCAAACAAAGGGGTTACAAGCCCCGTGCAAGTCCAAAATCCAGTGGGGCAGTCAAATCTTAAAGCTCCAAAATAATGTCCTTTGACACCATGTCTCACATCCAAGTCATGCTGATGCAAGAGGTGGGTTCCTGTGGTCTTGGCCAACTTCACCCCTGTGGCTTTGTAGGGTACAGCCACCCTCCTGGCTGCTTTCATGGTCTGGTGTTCAGTGTCTGTGGCTTTTCCAAGTGCATGGTGCAAGCTCTCAGTGGATCTACCATTCTGGGGTCTGGAGGACAGTGTCCCTCTTTTCACAGCTCCACTAGGTGGTGCCCCAGTAGGGGCTCTGTGTGGGGGCTCTGACCTCACATTTCCCTTCTGCACTGCCCTAGCAGAGGTTCTCCATGAGGGCCCCACTCCTGCAGCAAAATTCTGCCTGGGCATCCAGGCATTTCCATACATTTTCTGAAATCTAGGCGGAGGTTCCCAAACCTTAATTCTTGACTTCTGTGAACCCGCAGGTTCAATACCATTTGGAAGCCGCCAAGGCTTGCAGCTTCCACCCTCTGAAGCAACAGCCTGAGCTGTACCTTGGCCCCTTTTAGTCATGTCTGGAGTGGCTAGGATGCAGGGCACCAAGTACCTAGACTGCACACAGCACAGGGACCCTGGGCCTGGCCCGAAAAACCATTTTCTCCTAGGCCTTCAGGCCTGTGATGGTAGGGGCTGCTGTTAAGACCTCTGACATGCTTTGGAGACATTTTCCCCATTGTCTTGGGGATTAACATTCAGGTCCTCATTACTTATGTAAATTTCTGCAGCCAGCTTCAATTTCTCCTCAGAAAATGGGTTTTTCTTTTCTATCACATTGTCAGGCTGCAAATTTTCCAAATTTTTATGCTCTGCTTCCCTTATAAAACTGAATGCCTTTAACAGCACCCAAGTCACGTCTTGAATGCTTTGCTGCTTAGAAATTTATTCTGCCAGATACCCTAAATCATCTCTCCCAAGTTAAAAGTTCCACAAATCTCTAGGACAGGGGCAAATGCTGCCAGTGTCTTTGCTAAAACGTAATAAGAGTCACCTTTGCTCCAGTTTCCCACAGGTTCCTCCCCTCCATCTGAGACCACCTCAGCCTGGACTTTATTGTCCATATTGCTATCAGGCTTTTTGTCAAAACCATTCAACAAGTCTCTAGGAAGTTCCAAACTTTCCCACATTTTCCTGTCTTCTTCTGAGCTCTCCAAACTGTTACAACATCTGCCTGTTACCCAGTTCCAAAGTCACTTGCACATTTTTTGTTATCTTTTCAGCAATGCCTCACTCTACTGGTACCAATTTACTGTGTTAGTTCGTTTTAATGCTGCTGATAAAGACATATCTGAGACTGGGCAACTTACAAAAGAAAGAGGTTTAATAGGATTTACAGTTCCATGTGACTGGGGAAGCCTCACAGTCATGGCAGAAGGCAATTAGGAGCAAGTCAGGACTTACATGGCTGGCAGCAGGCAAAGAGAGAGCTTGTGCAGGAAAACTCCCCATTATAATAACCATCAGATCTTATGAGACTTACTATCACAGGATCAGCACAGGAAAGTCCTGCTTCCATGATTCAATTACCTCCCACCGGGTCCATCCACAACCCGTGGTTATTCAAGATAAGATTTGTGTGGGGACACAACAAAACCATATCCAGTATATTTACCTGAAGGACAGTGCTCCCTTGTGCATTTGCTGAACTTTCAATAGCTCTTCTATCATTCCATTAGGTCAGCAGTTTCTGGATGGTGCAGTTCATGTTAGGTCCCATACATCCCATCCTTTAACCATCGCTGTATTTCCTTTGTTACAAAGTAAGTTCTTTGGATTGATGTCATGTAGATTCATTACTGGTGAATCAGAAACTACTGAACGCCTTAAATAATAATGTTGACCGAAGCCCTGGTGTGAAGGAAGAGGAACCCCTGTTCAGAATGTGTAAGTTACTGTGAATATTAGAGAGGGACAATGTAGTCAGCTTCAAGTGTCCGGCTCCTCTTCTTGAGGGAGGTGCTCTTTTGGAAGCTCAGGGTTAACTTCCTGCTGGTACATGGGACATTCAGCAGCAGCAGGAGATAGATCAGGCTTAATGAGAAGGAGCCGATCCTGCAGGCCCACACACAGCCTCCATTGCTGCTCCCCACCTCCTCCATACTTGTGCCTTACGTTGGCACTGGAGTGGGTAATGACAAAGCTGGCACACATCAACTGTCCATGCAATTCTGTCTAGGTTGTTTAGTGATACTCCTTTCTGATGGGAATTCCATGCAAGGACAATAGCAGTCAGTCAGTACCCACTTCCATAAGTCCATCAACTGACCATTCCCTAGCCATCCATCCTGCCTCCAATTAAATATCCTGGCCTCCCACCAGTACACATGTGTCAATGCAATCCTAACAAAAGGACACTACTTTTTCTACACAAAGTAACTAATAAAGCACCCAAAATTCTGCTGAACTGGAGAGCTTACTCTCCTCATTCTCTTTCAAGACACTCACAAGCAGAGCTGCACTGAGCCAGCATATCTGAACTGGGCTTCAGCTACTTTCTTTTTTAGTTGGTGTAGGATACTCTCCTGAAGATGGCATGACCTTGCTCCAGAAGCCCAGGGATCTGCCTTATGATTCTCTCATTGGGGCTTATCAGAAACATCACAGAGCATCTTTTCCCACTGCTGATGGACAGAATAAAAAGATCATATAACCCAAGATCCAGGGCCACTTACATCTTAGCCTGGACGTTCCCTGGTCTAGGCTCCACCCAATGTTGACAGCATTTATATTGCCCAGTATGTGACTGGATCACTATTTCCAGGTTTAAAATACATCCATTTCAAAGCCCAAAGGGTACTAGCAGACATTTTGGTTCCTGCCTCTGTGGTGGGCTATCTTTGGGGAAGAATGTCTTCTTGGGTAAGGCAACGATCTTCAGGTGAAGGAAATTCCAGGAAAAGACCAGCCACTGAGATCAGTTGCTGGAAAACCTGAATTGCTGGGAGGAAACATACTTCTTTCCCAAAATAGAGATCTGGGTAGTAGAGCACAGTATTCATGACACCCAGGCTGAGATGATAAGTACAGCCATACTCATACCTCAGAGATTCTGCAGGTTGGTGTTAGGCCACCAAAATAAAGTGAATCTCACTATAAAGTGAGTCATCCAAATTTTGGAGTTTCCCAGTGCATACAAAAGTTATGTTTACACTACAGTATATTCTATTAAGTTTGCAAGAACATTATGTCTAAGAAATGTACATAAATTTAAAAATACTTTACTGTTAAAAATGCTAATGGTCACCTGAGACTTCAGGGAGTCATAGGCTTTTTGCTGGTGGAGGAATTAGCTTCAGTGTAGATGGCCGCAGACTGATCAAGATGGTAGCTGCTGAAGGCTCGAGTTCCTGTGGCAGTTTCTTAAAAAAAGACAACAATGAAGTTTACCACATCCATTGACTGTTCCTTTCACAAGATTTCTCTGTAACATCCAATTCTGTTTGATTACATTCTGCCCAAGGTAGCATGGTAAACCTTCTTTCAAAATTGAAACCAATCCTCTCAAACCCTGCCACAACCTTTTCAACTAAGTTATGGAATATTATAAATCCTGTGTTGTTATTTCAACAGTGTTCACAGCATATTCATAGGAGTAGATTCCATCATAAGAAACCACTTTCCTTGTTCATCCATAAGAAGCAAGTGGTCCTCCATTCAAGTTCTATCATGCAATTGCAGAAATTCAGTCACATCTTCAGGCTTCATCTCTAATTTCGGCTCCCTTGCTATTTCCACCACAACTGCAGTGACTTCTTCCACTGAAGTCTTGAATCCTTCAAAGTCATCCATGAGGGTTAAAATCAGCTTCTTCCAAACTCCTGTTAATATTGCTATTTTGAACACCTCTCATGAAACACAAATGTATTTAATGGCATCTAGAGTGGTAAATCCTTTCCAGAAGGTGTTCAATTTACCTTGCCTAGATGCCTCAGAGGAATCATTACCTATGGAAGTGATAGCTACATGAAATGTATTGCTTAAATAATAAGACTTGAAAGTTGAAATTACTCCTTTATTTAAGGGCTATGAAATGACCATGTGTTAGCATGCATGAAAACAAAATTAATTTCCTTGTACTTCTCCATTAGAACTCTTGGGTGACCAGAGGCATGGTCAGGAAGCAGTAATACTTTGAAATGAATCTTTTTATTTAGCAGTAGGTCTCAACAGTGGGCTTAAAATATTGAGTAAACCATGCTGTAATGTGTTGTCATGTAGGCTTTGTTCTTCCATTTATAGAGCATGAGCATGGGCAGAGATTTAGCATAATCCTTAAGGGACCTAGGATTTTTGGGGTGGTAAATAAGCACTGTCTTCAACTTATAGTCACCAGCTGCATTATTCCCTACTGGGAGAGTCAGCCTGTCCTTTGAATTTTGAAGCCAAGCATTGACTTCTCCTCTTTAGCTATGAAAGCCCTAGATGACATGTTTTTCCAATAGAAGGTTGTTTCATCTACATTGAAAATCAGTTGTTTCAGGTAGCGACCTTCATCAATAATCTTAGCTAAATGTTCTGGATAACTTGTTGCAGCTTATAGATCAGCAATTACTGCTTCATCTTCCACTTTTTTTAATGAACGAAGACTGCTTCTTTCTTTAAGCCTTAGCAACTAACTTCTGCTTGCTTGCAGCTTTTCTTTTTCAGTTTCCTCACCTCTGTCTGCCTTCAGGGAACTGAAAAGAATTAGGACCTTGCTCCAGATTAATCTTCAGTTTAAGGGAATATTCCGACTGATTTGATCTTCTATCCAGACACTAAAACTTTCTCCATATCAGGCTGTTTGGCATTCTTATCACTGGTGTGCTCATTAGAGTCTCACTTTTAATTCCTTCTGGAACTTTCCTTTTTTTTTTTTGAGACAGAGTCATACTTACTCTATCACCCAGGCTGGAGTGCAGTGGTGCAATCTAAGCTCACTGCAACCTCTGCATCCTAGGTACAAGCAATTTTCCTGCCTCAGCCTCCTGAGTAGTTGGGGTTACAGGCATGCACCACCATGCTCAGCTAATTTTTGTATTTTTAGTAGAGACAGGGTTTCAACATAGTGGCCAGGCTGGTCTCCAACTCCTCACCTCAAGTGATCCACCTGCCTCGGCCTCCCAAAATGCTGGGATTTCAGACATGAGCCACCACACCAAGCCCAAAACTTTTCCTTTGAATTCACAACTGAGCTGTTTGCTGAAAGAAGACTAGCTTTCAGCCTATCTCAGCTTTCAACACATGCATTCCTCACTGAGCTTTGTTATTTCTGGCTTTTGATTTAAACTGAGAGATGTGCCCCGTAGCTCATGCCTGTAACCCCAGTGATTTGGGAGGCTGAGGCAGGAAGATGGCCAGTGTGCTGGCAAGCTGTCTAAGGTCACAGTGCCAAAACACTGTTGGAAGTCACTGTGCTTTACTCCAAACTCCACTAGATCACTATGAATTAACTCTCAAATTCAAATGTATCTCGTGTTAGTTTGTCATCATTATATACATACTGCTGCTATTGTTTGTGCATCCAGTGCTTCTTATAAATAAGCAGAACATTTTAGCCTCTCGAAGTTATGCTAATAAACACAATTGACTGTACACACAAATCTCTAGATGGGGACTGCTAATTTTGTTATTTTTCTGCTTTCGTCTCTTTTGCCCCTATTTGAGGATTCATTTCAACCACTAAAGTGAACAAGGTTAAATCTGGTAAACATTATTCTACCTCATTTTTGGCATTTCAAAAATGAATTATAGCTGAGGGTAATAGTGCTTGTGAAAGCACAGACATGCAAATACGGTGATCTCCCAGGGCAGACATTTTTAATCATTCATCTTTTTGAAATATAGGTAATGATATATAAGAAAGACAATGATTTTCCTGTAGGAGTTCATAGTGTGGGAAAGTGTCTGAAGCAAATGGCATCATGGAAGGTGAATGGGTTACAGTGTTTCCTTGTTTCATTTCTTGAAGGAAAATAACATTCTGATAAATTATGCTCAATTCACAATTTATCCAGGCATTCTAGAAGAGTATAATAATTATTTCCATTGATGCCAAATGTCTTCTGAAGAAAGGTATGTCAATTCAGCTTAATTTTATATTTTATTATAAAATCTTTCCAAAAACAGAAAGATTAAATTAATATGAGACATATCCTTCGACTTTGGTCTTCACAAATAATTAAAAATAAAAAATGGGATTTTGAGTAAGACTTTTGATACTTTTGTCAGCCAACATGTTTCTGTCAGGAAATGAACCACATTTGACACGCACATAATCTTATGTCAATTCAATTTGTCTTTTACAATGCAGTATAGGAGAACAGATTTTTAAGAGCACATTCTCCTAAGAATAATTAGATTTCCTGATGGAATAATCTTTTATGCATGTCAATCAAATGACCATGAAACCTTTGAATTATTTTATATAGCAAAATAAAATAATTTGAACACTTGAGGCAGAAAAAAAACCCTTAGGACCCTTTCATATTGACAAATATTTTCATTCCCTTGTGATGAATTTGGTCTTTTTTTTTTCCACCAATAATAGTGATTATACCTAGCCCACTGTGTTTATTGTTTTGTTTGTTGTTGTCAAAATGGGGGTAGTACTTCATAGTGCTTTCTAGATCCCAGGAAATAATTTTAAGTGGTTTCTTAAGATGTTTGCCTCCGGCTGGGTGGGTGGTTTACACGTGTAATCCCAGGAGTTCAAGACCAGCCTGGCTAACATAGCAAAACCCCGTCTCTATTAAAAATACAAAAAAAATTAGCTGGGTGTGGTGGTGCATGCCTGTAGTTCCAGCTACTTGGGAGGCTGAGTCTCAAGAATCGCTTGAACCCAGGGGCTGGAGCTTGCAGTGAGCCAAGATCACGCCACTGCACTCCATCCTGGGTGATAGAGCGAGAATCCACCTCAAAAAAAAATTAATAATCACCTATGGTGCTGGGCCTCCAATTGGTAAACTCCTTAGGTCTGGGAGCCTAGGGGTGGAAAAAGAGGACCCAGTAGGGGTCCAACCAATAGGTTACTCCCAGTAACCTATCTAGTGACTTTGTGATTTCTTGCTCTGCAACTCTGGACTCAGAAGTTCTGGCTCCTAAAGAGGGGATAGTTCTGTAGAGGAGGTCTCAGCAATGATATTAAACATAAAGCGGCAGCTGCCATCCACAGAACTTAGGCTTCTCATACCCAAATAAGAACAAGAAGAACCATCTTCCTGGGGTGAGAGGATGTGGAGGATAACCCTCAATGTCATGAAGAGGTAGGTTTGCTGTTGTATAGTGAAAGTACGCAGGGTACCTTTAGCATCCACTTTGTTATCTCTTAGAACCCACTTATCCAATTTTGATTGTAAATGGACAAATACAGAAGCTGTAGCTTGAGAAATCCATAGTGACCAGAGCTTTAGACTTCACAGTGAGGAAGATGTTGGTAATCTCACGAAGTAAGGTGTCTAGACCAACAGAAGTCATAGCTGACGGTGAAAGAAATTTAGAATGACCAGTAGAAAAGAATGATGACCAGTACCAGTTGCAGCCCATGAACAGGTATGGCTTGTTCCATTAACATCCCGCTTGTCAGTTTTTCTCAGGAAAAAAAATCTACCAGAATCTTAAATAACAAATTATAGAATTTGTGTGAAGCAAGTGTATCCTAGCATTGCATATGTTGCTGTACTGTAGCACTCAAGTCTTTTTTAAGATGAAAG